>NC_000001.11:58038683-58190198 GCF_000001405.40 Homo sapiens
TTCCATTCTGGGAGAGCAAGCCTCACATCAGATCTTCAGGGTAGTGCAAGGTGGATTAACACAAAGGAAGGTCCCTGCTCCCAAGGAAGCAATGCCCAGCTGCAATGATGAGTCATAACACCCTTCCCTGCAAAGCTTAATACATGTAGAAAGTTAAATATGTGCTATGAATAATATCAAAAGACCAAAGATACTTCAACGCTTAATTTCAGTGTCTCCAATTCCCCATCCCTCAATGGAGACCATCATATGTACGTTCGGGTCTTAATTTCTTACTGGCCATCCCACCCTCCTTGCCTTCCCTAGGGAGCCTCCACAGCCCACTCTGCTCCCCACACCAACCCCACTAAGCCCCGACTCTGTTAACTATGTCTCTTTAGTTTCTGTATTTCTGATGCTTTGATGTCTGGGGCCTTGCTGTTACTGCAGACTGCTACTCCATTCCCAGGCTTAGCTAATTCCTAGAGATAGTAACAAACTCTCTCAGGAGCTCACCTTTCAAATGTTAACCAATCGCTCTAGAATCCATATCCCCAACCACCTCCTTTATCTACTCTAGCCCATTTATCCACTTGCCCCTATACCTGAGCCAGGAACCAGACAGTGGGGACAGCCTCTATTCCCCAGAGCCTGCTAAATTATCTAAACCAGCCAAACTGCCTCACCTGTTCCTTCCCACAGAAACCACAATAAAGGCTCTTGATCAGGGTCCTGCCTTCCCTCTACCTCCTGAGCAATCCTGGTGCCTTGAGTGTGCACCCCCACAAGGCATGGCACTTTGTCTTGGGGTCTGTGAGTGTAACAAGCTATCTTTTCAATGGGAGTCATCTCCTGATCTGTTGGCCTTGCCATACCAAAATAATAACAGAACCTATATTTGAAAATACTTGACCCCCGCTCAGAGCCTTCTGTTCCATCCCCCGTCCCCCACATTCTTTTTCAGCCTACAGGAGTTTGACATCTGAGACTTTGGCCTCTCCCCAAGTCCTTGCACCTGGAGCCAGTAAGAGGCAGTGTGGCCCGGTAGTGAAGAGTACAGGGGTCAGAATGCCTGGGCCACCTAGAAAAGATTTCCTCACCTTTTTCTGTCCCATTTTTCTCTTCTTTCTACAGGGATAATAAAAGTACCCATCTTAATAATTTATTGTCGAGGTTGAATAAAACAATAAATATGAAGTACTTACAAAAGTGCTTGGGACATGGGAAGATTTTAATAACTATTAGTTATCAATATTATCCATTATTGTTAGGAAGCAAAGAGGAACAGTGCTAGCAAAACTAGCAAAAAAATATATAAAATTTTACCTATTGCTTCACCAGTGCTTTCCACACACGTAGAATAAGGGGTGGGCAGCTGGGAGGAATGATTGCATATTCATAAGCATCTCCAACCAAATTAATTGATAGGGCACGATAGTAATAAAAGGAATTAATTTCCATTTTAGTAACTTCACATGCTACATGTTAAGTATAGGTCCATATTACCAGTGGTCACCCAATTCCCCTTTGCATCTGTTCCATGTTGATTATGATGTCAGGAAAGCAAAAGTTAAATCCCTTTTTAAGGAAGAAAAAAAATCTAATTTAATAACATTGCAATCCTGTTGAAAGCATGATTAAATCTTAATAAGAGTGGAAGGATGTTGTGTTTCATGTCTATCCCTCTTGAAGCCCTGGTAACTTGTTCAGGGATATAGACGGGGTTGTCAAAGGACTTCACAGCCCAACCCTGGTCTCATCTGCCGGCATCCAAGACGCAGCAGAAATCTCTGATGGTGCTGACACTTCTATTTTCACTTTTCTCATCCTGGTGTTTTTTCTTATTAAAGCAGTTTGATTCTGTAATTTCTACCAGTACAGATAAAAATAAAATGACTCCCAACTTTTATTTTGACCTTATAAAACTGTGTAATTGGTTCAGAACCTTCAGGCTAAATGAGTTTCCTGCGGATTGAGAACATTGGAAGAGGAATCACAGAGTTAAAAATATACCACATGTCTAAATAGAATTAGCTCATAATATTCTATTTGAATGTACAGAAACTGCAGTCTAATGTCAATCTCATGAAAGCTTAGTTTCTGATGTATTCATATTTTTTCTCTTCAAAATAAACATAACAGCACAAAGTGCAACAAAAGGCATCCACTTCAATTCTCTCTTCTTTTCCTGAACCTCACAACTCTCAGAGAGTCCTAATTAACTACAGAATTGTGTCCAACCTCCTAAAGGTTGCACCTGGGACCCCGGGGATTGGCTCTTGCTGAACTCCCCAACCTCACCTGTTCCAACTTCATCAGACCTATGCATCACCCCCTGGATACATTACAGTTCCGTAAACAGCTACACTGGTCTCTAGCTCTGCATCTTTGCACATGCTTTGCTGCCTATCTGAAACATACTCTCCTAATAATCTTTTTTCCAAACCCAACTCCTTCTTAAGAGTTAGTTCCAGTGTCTCCTCATCTGTGAAGCCTTTAAAGTCTTCCTATTGAGCAGACCCAGGAACCCAGGCCCTCTGAGCTCTCACATAATCTTATGCAAGCCTGCATATTACAGTTGTCAAATTATTGCGCTATATTGCAACGATTGGCTTACTTGTCTCTCATCTCTCCTAGGCTGAGATTATTGACGCTGGAGCCACATCTTTTCATCTCTATGTTTCTGGAAATAGCATCTAGAAAAACACTTGGAATATACTAGGCCCTCAGCATATGATTGTGGGCTGTCTCATAAGAGCCAGGCTTATACAGCGTGTATTGTGTTTCAGGCACAACTCTGAGCATTAAGGTCTATATACTCTCATTTAAAAACCCTGGCACCTAGGATCCTCTCATTACCATCCCTGTGTTACAGTTGCAGAACCTAGAACATTGTGGGGTAGAGTAACCTGCCTAAGCTCACACAGCTAACAAGTGTCAAGAGTACACAGTGGAGATTCCAAGTCAGTCTGGCTGCAGAGTGCAGATGCTTAAACGCTACCACACACCACCCTCAAAGAAGGGCCTCCTTGACAATGCCTTGGGCTTGGCAGCTCAAATTCCTCTAGCAAGCTAGAATTGGCATTGGCTTCCTGTGTGCTCTAGGCTATGAAGGATTACGAGGCTGCATCAGGACTGGCTGAGAAAGAATGCTTTGATCAACTAGCCACTCCCAGAGTCAGAACCACAAAATAGTACCAATCCCTGATTGCTGGGTGATAGGCCATGCATACCTGCTAAGAAAGGGCTTATCCCCAACACCAACCTCTCAGTTTAAGTGTCTGCATGGTTTGGACTTTGGATGATTCATAAATAGTAGAAGCCACAAATATCCATCCTTATCTACCAAGTCTCTTCCTTATTAAATGTCTCTGGCCAGGTCAGCTCCATTCTGGGAATAATTTTGCTTATTAAACTAGAGCCCTGTCTCAGGTGGCTGGCTGTTGGGTTAAAGAGCAAAGGAAATGAATAAAAGCACATAGCCATGAACAAAGAGGATCTGGCTTATTTAATGTACTTACTTCTGACAAACTCACGGCTGGATTTCTTATCTGTGGAAGCAAGTTCCTACTGAACCTTCTGAAGCAGGTATGATTTAAAGACAATCTTTTAATGGTACCACATTTTAATAAATAGAGGCTTTAAAACTGTTTATTTTTACTTCTCTTTTTGAACCTCTAACTTTTAGGATATTCAACAAACATTTATTTGATATCTACTGTGTATCAGACACTGTTAGACACTAGGAACATAGCAATGAATAAAAGTAACAACAACAAACCCCCAGAGCTGCCAGTTATTAAGTTTCTACTACATGCCAGCCTTTCAAGCAGGTTGTACACACCCAAAACTACACATACTGAGCGATAGTTCCATACTGGCAATATATGCATGGCGCATTGAAAACACAAAGGAAAAGGAGGGAGATGGGGGCAGGGTGAAATCCCCTTAGGAAGAAATAGATACTGCTTGGGACAGAAGTTGGGAAAGGATACTCTAGCGGGGACAGCATGTGCAAAGACTATTCGCATGGAAGCATAAAAGAGCATAGTCAGTACTTCAACACATCTGAAACTCAGAGTTCAAGGCAGGGAGTACTGAGAGACTTAGGAAGGAGCAAAGATATTAGAGGAGCTTAGATTTATCTTGAAGGCAAGGGGCACCACAGACAGATATTAAGTGAGGCGGAGGGGAGGCATTATAATAATCAGATTTGCATTTCAAAATGAGCCGTCCATTTACTACACTGTGGGGTGATGGATTGGAGCCAGGAGAAGCTAGAGGTAAAGATTCTAAGAGCAAAGGTGTTGCATGCTAATAGCTGAAATGTGGTGTGTAACATCAGTAGGAAAGTTTATCCATCAAATTCAGCACAAAGGAGTGTATAAAGGAAATACATGCAGATCAAATGTCCTGACAGTATATTCCAGAAGGAATGAATCACCAAAATGTTAATGTATAGGCGCTGTGCTGCTCTTTCCAAACTGTTAACACAAGGTAGTAAGAAGACAGATAAGAGACCAAAATTCTCTGTCCCTTTTGAGCCGATCTTGTTAGTGGCATTTGCTCCATCTATGTACTAATTTCTTTATCAACATGAAAGGTACATCACAGTGCCTACATAAATGGGTCAAGTAATATAATTTCATATTAGAAAATGAATGCCTTTAGGTACTATAAAAAACAATTTGGATAATATATTTCTTTCACTTCTAGTAGAATTTCAAGTTTAAAAAAAAGAGTTGGCAGAAACTTCAGAGACAGTCTAGCCCAAACCCTTCAATACATGGATCGATACCTTTACCTCTTCTATTTCCACTGCTTGTAGTGCTTTTTCAATCTGATCCATCTGACAAAACTCTCTTCACCCATGACCCATGATGTCCTCACAGTCACTCCTACTCTAAAGCCTTCCGTGAATCTCACAAAATTAATACTCACTTCCTCTTTGGAGCTCTGGGAGTAGTAGTTAATGTCTGGATTTTCTTTTCTCATCTATAAAATGAGATCACTATTGTGCCATGAAATGAATACTTGACAGAGTCAAACAGAGAGGATAATCACAACCCACATTTTTTTTTTTAAGACGGAGTCTTGCTCTGTCACCCAGGCTCAAGTGCAGTGGCACGATCTCGGCTTACTGCAACCTCCACCTCCCAGGTTCAAGCGATTCTTCTGCCTCAGCCTCCCGAGTAGCTGGGATTATAGGCACACACCACTACGTTTGGCCAATTTTTGTATTCTTAGTAGAGATGGGGTTTCACCATGTTGGCCAGGCTGGTCTTGAACTCTTGACCTCGTGATCCGCCTGCCTTGGCCTCTCAAAGTGCTGGGATTACAGATGTGAGCCACTGTGCTCACCACAACTTAACTACTTTATAGCATTGTAGATGTGTCAATTACCTGTATATTTAATCTCAGCTCCCTCTGTCCTTCTTTGAAAAATTTTCAGGAAACAACATTTCCTTAGCTTCCTTCTTTTTGAGTTTCTGATTATGTATTACTAATTTGAGGCTGTGGTAAGTTGGAGACCAGAAGGAGGGAAGAGGGACAGGGCATTTTTACCCTTGGCTTTCCTGGTTTGGGATTGCATCTCCAGAAATGGTAGCATTTCCTCCAGGGCTTCTCTGTGCTTCTAGCTTCTGAAGGTGACCCTGGTCTCTGGGATTTGGTGGTACCACCTTTTTTCCCTATTCCTCTAGCCTAGGGGTTACAGTGGCTTCCTCCTACTGCTGCTCTTTGACTTGTCTGAATATCATTTTTTCGCTTCTTAGCTCTTCCATCTTGTATGCGACCAACTCCTTTATTGAATCTTTCCTGTTTGAAATACCTAGACAGATTTATGTTTTCTGAGTGTCTCTTGTTATATTAGACAAAGAGAAAAGGAGAGGAGAAAGAACTAATATAATTATTGACAATGTACTGCATATCAGGCTTTTACTCTGGGTGTTGAATTCATAATTTCACTATAGCATAGTGGTTAAGGTTACAAAGGTTGTCAGAGAGACCAGACTTCAGATCCCAGTTCTGACACGTACTAACTCAGTCTTACCCTGTTTCAATATCTGTCGATTAGGGATAAGAGTAATATTTACATGCAGAGTTCAGAGGATTCAGAATCATATGTATAAAAGCACTTATCACAGAACCCAATACATAGGACTCAATGTTAGTTATTAATAACAAATATATAATAATAATCTGAACAAACCTATAAGGCTGGTATTATTAATATTCCTCATGACATGTGAGAAAACCACGATTCATAGAAATGAAGTAGTATGCCCAAGGTCACATAGCTAATAGAGGGATGCTAGGCTTAGAACTCTGACTAGAAAATCTGTTTTTTTCTACTATACAGAATGGGCTTACAGATGAAAACATACAATTGGAATCTATATAAATATTATAGTTTATGAATATAAAGCTTAAATTATCTGGCTCCCTAATTAATTGCATTGTTGTTAGGAGCAGAATTTGAGAGGATCCTGAATCCTGACAAACCCTATCCTGCAGGCCGGCCGACAGCACTGCAAGGACAGCAGGTTGGTCAGGGCTGGCAGCGGGAAGCACTTGCCACTGGGAGGCCACAACCCCACTCCGACGGGTCTGCTGGCAGGGGCTGTGGAGTGGGCCTCACCTACTCATTACTGCCATACCGAGGGGGTAAGGGCTAATGGACTGCTGGTCCAGGGGGACGGTCTGCAGCTTCACGCAGCTCTCTCCACAGCATCCAGGCCTGAACCTGTGACCCCAACTCCGCGAGCGGGGCTGTTACCCACTCTTGAGACTGCCGGCATTAAGATCCTCTCATTACTGGCCATGCAGATTGTTCCCGGCGATAATGAGGTGGCAAGAGAAGAAACCATCCTGGGGGAACTTCTGAGAGCCAAGCCTTCGACAGTAGATGAATTCCTAACCTGCCATTTTAAAAACTGTCTCTCCAAATTGCTAGGAATATTTTTTTTCCAGGGAAGCTTTGACCCTTCTCTTTATCTTTCTTTTTAGACTATGTGCTGAAAGAGGTAGAAATCCATACTCACTCACCCCTTTCTTCCCTTGCATCTTTGTTTTCATCTCCATCCTTCTCTTGCCTCCTTTCTCTCCCTTTTTGCCTCTTTTCCCTTTTTCCCCTTTGTTCCTTCTCTTTTTTTCCATTTATTCTCCTATCCTTTCACACAGCATAGAGATGCAAGCTTTGGAACAAAATACATTATGGGTCCAAATTGCAGCTCTGCTCCCTGGTAATTAGGGATTTGGGCAAGATTATCAATTTTTTTTTTTTTTTTTTGGAGCCTCTGTTATTTATCTGAAAATGGAGACTAAAATTTTCAGGGTTTTAAGGTTATTAAATGACCTTATTTATAGAAAGAGGCCTGTTAAGGTATATGGGCACATAACTGGCATAGAATAAATGCAGGTACCTTCCTGTATTCAGCAAGGCTTTATTGAGTTAAGTCCATGATATATGTAAAGTCCTGTGGTAGATACCAGAGACAGAATAAGTTTTGGTTTCTTCTGTTAAGTAAGTTTTCCATTTTGATACTGAAGAAAAGCCTGGGAATTCTGGATTTTCTTAAACTAAATAAAGATAAATATTTTTCCTAGTGTATATCAAATATCCAATTGGCTATAACTAACTTCTTTTCTCAAAGCTAAGCAAACTGAGGCAAAGGACATCACGGCAATTGAAATGTTTATATCGTCCAAATCATTTACTTGGGTGACATCTTGTCCCTCCCATAGAACACATTTACATAAAGAAGAACTTCTTTTTTTGTTGTTGATTTTATTTTCTGTTGATTTTTTTTTCGAAGGTAGGATTATGAACTACTTTAAGGCCCTCTGAAACTAGGAAGGATGTGAGTAAAGTACAATGTCATATCATTATTTTTATTTGCATTTTTTAAATTACTAATGAGGTTGAACACATTTCCACATTAGTTTCAAGGTACTTAGCTAGAACTTGTTTTACAATTTTAATTGGTTACTGTCCATCTGGTATCTTCTCTACTATGCCATGAGCTTCCAGAGAACAGAGCCTGAGCAGCACTTGTCTTGGTATCCTTTGTGTGGTGCAGTAAACAAAGCATCTCACACAGACTGGATGCTGTAGAACAGAGCTCCTGCCATGTGCCAGCCACTGGTGCTGGGGATAGAGGGATGGGAGCTCTCAGAGGTACACTCTTTAAGTCCAGGGATACCTACAATTTCTGGGCCACTCACTGAGTGGAGAAGAACTGATTTTGTTTGAAACTGAAGTTCAAAGCCCAGCCGTGCCACTTACTGGTTGTGTGACCTTGGGCAAAGTTGCTTCATCTCTTTGAGCCTCAGTTTCTTTAGCTGTAAAATAAGGACAAGCTCCAAGATCCCTCCAAATTCTTACCATGACATGATATTTGTATAATATATACATAGCCTGAAAATGAGATTCAAACTTTAGTTATTTTGGAAATTCTGTTTTATTATGCCATGGATTGTGTCAAGCAGTTTCACCCAAAAGAAATATAGCATGGGCTATGAATGCAAGCCACATATGTCACCTTAAATTTGCCACTTAGCCACATTTAAGTAAAATAAAAAAACAGGTGAAATGAATTTTAATAATATATTTTCTTTAATCCAATATATCTAAACTGTTATCTTTCAACATATCCAAACTGTTATCATTTCAACAAGTGGCACTAGCCACATTTCAGGTGCCCAATAGCCACGTGTGGTTGGACAGTGTGGTGTGAAGTGTGGCACCAGGGAGGTGGGCCTTCGCTGCTGCTGCTGCCCTCTGGTGGATGTACAGGTGAGTGGCATCTCACAAATGAGGGGTGTGGGTGCAATGAAGCCACCAGCCCCTGTGTCCTACTAATCTTTATCATAGCCCCTTCACTCCTCTCATTGAAAGCATAGATACTAATTTTGATTTTTTTTAACCCATTCGCTTGTTTATGGTTAAAGAGCCACCTCTCATTCACTAGTCAAAGTAATCACATTGAATTACAGCAGAGTAGAATAAATGAAAGATCTTCACGCAATTCCATACATGTGAGAAATATGGGCTCTTCTATTGACACTCTCTCAGGCCAGGAACTTAACTAGATCATCTCTCTGCCTGAGTTGAAAGTCCAGTCAACAACTGTTTATCCGGCATCCAAGAAAAAGGAAACATAAATAACCTGAACTACTTTTTTTAAGGCATTTATTCAGCATCACGATCAGACTATTACATTTAGCAATCAACAGCATGGGTGCAAAAAAAAATCTACATTAAAACCCTTTGTTGGAATGCTTTACACTTTCCACAGAACAGCAACTAAAATAACCTGTTATACAATTAGTCACAAATATAGTCCTCAAGTTTTTTGCCCATATACATGAGTATTTGTCTAAAACATGTCTTCTTTGCAGCAGCTAGGCCCTGCCACCACTGTGTTTGGCTGAGTTCACAAATCTGTTGTAACCTATAGCTTCCCTGTCACTTCTCTGGCTCTTCTCTCCTGCTAAGCTTTGTTTCCTAATTAAAATCTTCTGCCACTGCCACAGCTACTGCTGCTACTGGAACCGCCATAGCCACCTTGGTTTCACAGTTTGGCAAAGTATTGGCCTCCACCGCCATAGGGGCCAGAGCTTCTGCCTCCAAAATCTCCCCCCTTCATGGGTCCAAAATTTGAAAACTGATTGTTTTAATTGCCCAAATCACTGTAGCTTCCACCACCTCCAAAACTGCTTCCACTGCCACTGCCAAAGCTACCTCCACCTCTATTGTTATAGCTGTCATAGCTGCCACTCCCGCCATAGCCACTGCCCTGGTTTCCATAACCCTGTCCACCACTTCCATAGCCTCTGCTTCCTCCAGAGTAACCAGGGCCACTTCCTCCATAACCACCATAATTGCCAAACCCATTATAACCATCCCCACTGCCACCATATCCACTGACATCACAGCTGCCACCAAAGCCACCATGACCACTAAAGTTTCCTCCACAACCAAAGTTGTCATTCCCACTGAAACCACCTCCACGACCACCACCAAAGTTTCCAGAACCACTTCACCTCTTTGGCTGGATGAAACACTAGCCATCTCTTGCTTTGACAGGGCTTTCCTAACTTCACAGTTGTGGCCATTCACAGTATAGTATTTCTGAATGACAGTCTTATCCACGGAATCATGGTTGTCAAAGGTTACAAAGGCAAAGCCCCTTTTTCTTTGCCACTGCCTCAGTCAGTCATGATTTCAATCACTTCCATTTTTCCAACTGTTAAAAATAATCTCTTAGGTGATGTTCTTCAGTGTCTTCTTTAAAACCACCAACAAATACCTTTTTCACAGTTAAGTGGGCACCTGGTCTTTGGGAATCTTCTCTTGAGACAGCTCTCTGTTTCCACAACTCTTCCACCCACCTTGTGTGGCCTTGCATTTGTGGCTGCATCCACCTCCTCCACAGTGGCATATGTGACAAACCCAAAGCCCCCGGAGCACTTGGTGTTTGGATCTCTCAGGACCACACAGTCCGTGAGCGTTCCCTATTGCTCAAAATGGCTTCTCAGGTTCTCATCAGTGGTGTCAAAGCTCAGCCCTCCAGTGAAGAGCTTCCTAAGCTGTTCGGGCTCTTTAGGAGACTCTGACTTAGACAGGATGGCAGGGAGAAGAGAGACTTTAACGATGCTTCTTCGGCGGCATCCACGGGCAGAAAGGAGCAAGCTGACGAATGTATCTTAACCTGAACTATTTTTGCACTTCTTTCCGATAATAATTATGCTCAGAGTCATTCAGCAACCACATTGAAAGGTTCTATGGGGCCTTCTGCATCATTGCAGAAGGAATTGATTGTGTCTGGTAAATTATAATTCTTTCCAAATTAGAACCAAGTATATGACATAGGTTGTGACCTGCTGGTAAGTAGAATATTTGATTAGCTGGAGAAAATTATTTTGGAATAGAAGAAAGAGCATGGATTTTGGATCCAGACTTAGATTTGACTCTTAACTATGTTATTTGCTATATGACCTTGAGTTTGAAATTTAGTCTCTTTAGATTTTAGTCTTCTTATCTGAAAAATAGAAATGATACCTCACATTGCAGGATAGTTTTAGTATTACATGATCACTATTTATTCAATAGATACTTATTGAATACATATTATATGCCTGGCATACACGCATATGCACACACACACACACACAGCAGTGAACAAAATAGAATCCACCTCTCCTTTCTTGGGGCTTTTAGCCTGGTAGGGAAAGAAATTATTTTGAAAAAACCATTAGTGTTTGAAAAGGGGGCATGCAGGAAACCATGAAGGCATGAAGTTGGGAACCGTATGGAATCTCATGCAGGGAACTCTAAAGAAGTGATATTAAATGGAGACCATAACAATGAGTAGAGATCATCTAGATAGAGGATTGTATGGAGAAGTGTAGAGGGTGTATAAGGCAGTATTCTAGGCCAACAGAATAGCACGTACAAAGGCCCTGAGTTAAAAGAGAACATAGATCAGTTGAGCATCTGAAAGTAATACAGTCCAGAACAGAAAGAAAAAGCAATGAGTCTGAAATTTATCGGGCCAGTTACAACAGGCTCTCGTGAGCCTATAAGAGTTTGGTACTATATTCAAAGAGCATGGAGCTATTGGAAGATATTAAACAGGAGAGTAATATTATTATATTTCTTTTTAAATTCTGGCTATGCAGTAAGACAGGTATTCAGTTATGGTGGGGAGAACAAAGTGTAGGTTACAGCAGAAATAAAGGTGAAATATGATGGGATTTTGGACTAGACATATGGTAGTGTGATGAAGAGAAGGAATTAATCATTAATCTAAGGAATATTTAGGTAGAATAAAAGAATTAACCTCATTGCTTTATTTTATTTATTTATTTATTTATTTATGGAGATGCAGTCTTGCTCTGTCACCCAGGCTGGAGTGCAGTGGCGCAATCTCGGCTCACTGCAAGCTCCACCTCCTGGGTTCACGCCATTCTCCTGCCTCAGCCTCCCGAGCAGCTGGGACTACAGGTGCCCGCCACCTCGCCTGGCTAATTTTTTGTATTTTTAGTAGAGACGGGGTCTCACCGTGTTAGCCAGGATGGTCTCAATCTCCTAATCTCGTGATCCGCCCGCCTCGGCCTCCCAAAGTGCTGAGATTACAGGCGTGAGCCACCGCACCCGGCCCTCATTGCTTTATTTTTATGAGTTGGACAGTGGCACATGGCTGATAGATTTTGTCTTGCTGAGCTTTTCCTAAGTATCCATAATTCATTCACCAAATATTACTGATGCTCTACTACATGCTACATGTTGTTCTAGGTGTGAGAAATACTGTGATGTCTTACTCCATTTTGTATTGCTATAAAGGACGACTTGAGTCTGGGTAATTTATAAAGAGAAGAAATTTTTTTTATATATATATACTTTAAGTTCTAGGGTACATGTGCACAAAGTGCAGGTTTGATACATATGTATATATGTGCCATGTTGGTTTGCTGCACCCATGAACTCATCATTTACATTAGGTATTTCTCCTAATGCTATTCCTCCCCCAGCCCCCCAGCCCCCGATGGGCCCCAGTATATGATGTTCCCTGCCCTGTGTCCAAGTGATCTCATTGTTCAAGTCCCACCTCTGAGTGAGAACATGTGGTGTTTGGTTTTCTGTCCTTGTGATAGTTTGCTCAGAATGATGGTTTCCAGCTTCATCCATGTCCCTTCAAAGGACATGAGCTCATCCTTTTTTATGGCTGCATAGTATTCCATGGTGTATATGTGCCAATTTTCTTAATCCAGTCTATTATTGATGGACATTTGGGTTGGTTCCAAGACTTTGCTATTGTGAATAGTGCTGCAATAGACATACGTGTGCATGTGTCTTTATAGTAGCATGATTTATAACCCTTTGGGTATATACCCAGTAATGGGATTGCTGGGTCAAATGGTAATTCTAGCTCTAGATCCTTGAGGAATCGCCACACTGTCTTCCACAATGGTTGAAGCAATTTACACTCCCATGAACAGTGTAAAAGCATTCCTATTTCTCCACAACCTCTCCAGCATTTGTTGTTTCCTGACTTTTTAATGATTGCCATTCTAACTGGCATGAGATGGTATCTCATTGTGATTTTGATTTGCATTTCTCTGATGACCAGTGACGATGAGCATTATTTCATGTGTTTGTTGTCTGCATAAATGTCTTCTTTTGAGAAGTGTCTGTTCATATCCTTTGTCAACTTTTTGATGGGGTTGTTTTTTTCTTGTAAATTTGTTTAAGTTCTTTGTAGATTCTGGATATTAGCCTTTTGTCAAATGGGTAGATTGCAAAAATTTTCTCCCATTCTGTAGGTTGCCTGTTCACTCTGATGGTAGTTTCTTTTGCCGTGCAGAAGCTCTTTAGTTTAATTAGATCCCATTTGTCTATTTTGGCTTTTGTTGCCATTACTTTTGGTGTTTTAGTCATGAAGTCCCTGCCCATGCCTATGTCCTGAATGGTATTGCCTAGGTTTTCTTCTAAGGTTTTTATGGTTTTAGGTCTAACATTCAAGTCTTTAATCCATCTTGAATTAATTTTTGTATAAGAGGTAAGGAAGGGATCCAGTTTCAGCTTTCTACATGTGGCTAGCCAATTTTCCCAGCACCATTTACTAAATAGGGAATCCTTTCCCCATTTCTTATTTTTGTCAGGTTTGTCAAAGATCAGATGGTTGTAGATGTGTGGCATTACTTCTGAGTCCTCCGTTCTGTTCCATTGGTCTATATATCTGTTTTGGTACCAGTACCATGCTGTTTTGGCTACTGTAGCCTTGTAGCATAGTTTGAAGTCAGGTAGCGTGATGCCTCTAGCTTTGTTCTTTTGGCTTAGGATTGACTTGGCAATGCAGGCTCTTTTTTGGTTCCATATGAACTTTAAAGTAGTTTTTTTCCAATTCTGTGAAGAAAGTCATTGGTAGCTTGATGGGGATGGCATTGAATCTATAAATTACCTTGGGCAGTATGGCCATTTTCATGATATTGATTCTTCCTATCCATAAGCATGGAATGTTCTTCCATTTGTTCCTGTCCTCTTTTATTTCATTGAGCAGTGGTTTGTAGTTCTCCTTGAAGAGGTCCTCACATCCCTTGTAAGTTGGATTCCTAGGTATTTTATTCTCTTTGTAGCAATTGTGAATGGGAGTTCACTTATGATTTGGCTCTCTGTTTGTTGAATAGAAGCGATTTACTAGGCTTACAATTCTGCAGTCTGTACAAGAAACATAGTGCCAACATCTGCTTTTGGTGATGGCCTTAGGCTGCTTCCACTCATTATGGAAGGCAAAGAAGTGCTAGCTTGTAGAGGTCACATGGTGAAAGAAAAAGCAAGAGCGAAAATGGGGAGCTGCCAGGCTTTTTTAAACAATAAGCGTTCATGGGAACTAATAGAGTAAGAACTTACTCACTTCCAAAAAATGGCTTAATCTATTCATGAGGGATCCACCCCCATGGCCCAAACATCTCCCATTACCCAATTCTAAAGCCGCTTTCACATATTCAGCTATCTTTATAACAAAACCCCACTCTTGGTACCAGTTTTCTTTTTCTCTTTTGTGTAGCTATGAAGGAATACCTGAGGCTGGATAATTTGTAAAGAGAAAAGGTTCATTTGGCTCACAATTCTGATGTCTGGAAAGGTTCAATATTGGGCATCTGGTGGTCTCAGGCTGCTTCCGCACATGGCAGAAAGTAGAAGGTTAGGGAGAGCCCATGTGTGCAGAGATGGCATGGTGAAAGAGGAAGCAAGGGGCTGGGGAGTGCCAGCCTCTTTTTCAACAACCAACTCTCGAAGGAACTTTAGAGAAAACCTCACTCACCCCTGAGGAAGGGCATTACTCTATTTATGAGGAATCTGCCCCCATCACTCAAACACCTTCCATTAGGCCCCAACTCCAACACTGGGTATCAAATTTCAACATGAAGTTTGGAGGGGACAAATATCTAAACCATAGCAGATGGTAAATGAAAATAGAAAATAGACCAAAATTCCAGCTGTCTTGGAAATATAGTAAAGATAATATATGAAAGTAGGTGCCACATGGTAGGTAACAAAAAATATGGATTCACTTCCTTCTTCCCTTTCCTAGTTATGGCAGAGAACCCCAATCTGTATACTTACATTTAAATAACTCTGTGAAATTAGTCTGCAAGCTAAATCAATGCTGTACTACCATACAAAAGTTTGGGATTCCCATGGTGTCAACCATACTCGCTGTTGATCTCTGTTTGGATCTCACTTCCTGTCTTCTCACCTAATCCATGGTCCCACATTGTTGCCTGCTAGTTATTTTCACTTGTATGCTATACTGAAGGGAAGAACAAGAGGGAAGAAGTTAGAAAGGAAGAATAACACTAGAACTAAAAGGGCTTTCTTTTTGTTGAACACATACTGGGCATCAGCACTGTGCTGACTTCTTTGCATCACAATTCTAGGAGTATGGCATTATCATCCCTGTTTCACAGATAAAGACGCTAAGTCTTAGAGTTTCCTAGGATGAGAAGTTGCTTCTGTCTGAATAATTAGCAATC
This sequence comes from Homo sapiens, assembly GCF_000001405.40. Classification (NCBI taxonomy): domain Eukaryota; kingdom Metazoa; phylum Chordata; class Mammalia; order Primates; family Hominidae; genus Homo; species Homo sapiens. The sequence continues at coordinate 58,054,206 of NC_000001.11, forward strand.
AGTTTTAGCTGCCTTTCTCCTTCCATTTCTCTGCCAAGAGGAGATAACAGAATAACTCCTATATCTACAATTTTAAAATTCTCATGGCTTAAAGACTACCAGTGCAAAGAGTTCTTTCTACTCCTCCATCTTTATTTCATAACCTCATACCATTCATTTTTGGTCCAGGTTTCTTCCTTTAGCTCCATAAGGCATCTCAGATTCTGTGTTTCAGCCAACAGACATGCATGGGGACAACAGATACTCTATTTAAAAGCATGGACCACTAAATTAACAAGAAGTATTTACATGCTATGGGTTGAGAAACCTGCATCTCCTAACTGCAATGAACGAAGGGCTGTCTGCAATGCTGCTGGTTACAGCTAGACATAAAACCCATTATCAGCTCATTGGCTGTTGGGACATAAAACTGCTTGGTCTCACAAAGATATTTCCTCACCATGGGGATAAGTTTAATAAGAACTACAGATGATAGTAAAAAGCACATTTATTTCCTATAACCTACAGAAAGTCTTTATTGCATATAGGATAAATAACAGGCCACTGTGAGTTACTGGTCTGTAATTCCACTTAGGAGGTTTGGGGCATGAAACACAGTGGGGAGAAATTGCTGTTTTAAAAACGAGGCCTTGGAGTTGGAGGCCCAGGAGAGGACGAAGATGAGATTCTGTGTGAAAAGATGACAACCCGCTGTCAAGCAATGGTCCAGCACAGCCACATTCGTGAAGGCATGGGCAGCCTTTCTACTCAGCAGCAGGTGGCCTGAGGCAAAATTACTAAGCAATACAAACATTATCTTACCTCATACTTAATGATTTTCAAAGCTATACCATAACCCATCTTTTCACTGGACCCTTACAAACACCACTGGAGATAAGCAAAATGAGGACTCTTATTCCCATTTAACAGATGGGAGAGCAATGTTCATGTGGGACAGCCAGGATTTCAGAATATGCTGTTGTATCATGCAGAACACAGACCTTCAAAGATCACAGGATCTGCAGATCTGGCTCCTGTTACCTCTCTGATCTCATCACACTCAGTTCCTAGCATGCACATCCTTGATTCTTCTCAGATGCTCCAGGCATGCTGTGGCTTATAGCCTTTGTACTTGACCTTCCTTCTACCTGAAACTCTCATCCCCCAGGTATCAGAATGGTGTCTTCCCTCATCTCCATTTAGATCTGTGCTCACATATCACCTTCATTCTACTCTATTTCCATTTGCAACCCCACCCCTCGTACTCCCTCTTTCCCTTTTCCGCTTTGTTTTTATCCATAGCACTTAATCATCTTCTGACAGTCAGTATATTTTCTTTATTTGTTGACTATCTACTTTTCCTATCAGAATGTAAGCTCCTTGAAGGCAGAGAATTTTGTTTGCTTTGTTTACCACTATACATTTGACCAGTGATGGACATATGCTAGATGCTCAGCAAATACATGTTGAATAGACTAATGTACGCATAAATCTATATTAGTACTATAGGGAATGAGGGTGAGCAGTCACAGGCCTTCAAGAAAGGGTCTTACTCTGTCACCCAGGCTGGAGTGCAGTGGCGTCATCTCGGCTCACTGCAACCTCTGTCACTGCAACCTCTGTCTTCTGGGCTCAAGTGATCCTCCTGCCTCAGCCTCCCAAGTAACTGGAAACACAGGCATGTGCCATCACACCGAGTTATTATTATTATTATTATTATTATTTGTATTTTTTGTATAGACAGGGTCTCCCTATGTTGTTCAGGCTGGTCTCAAACTCCTGGGCTCAAGAAATCCGCCTGCCTCGGCCTCACACAGTGCTAAAATTCCAGGTGTGAGCCACCGTGCCTGGCCTCATGTGCATTCTTTTTTTTTTTTTTTTAAGTACAATTTCCATTTTATTTTTCTCCAGAGAATAGCCTGTCTTCAGTCTTTAAGAACTCAGCTCCTTACATGGGCTTTGGTGGGGGACGTGGGGCAGCACCCGCAGGTCTAAATCGGGATGGGGGTGTTCGGTCCTTGCGGGCTTCACGAGATCGATTCCTGACTACTTTGCTGTGAATTGCACAACTCACACAGTAATGTAGCTTCACATACAGCTTGGGAAGCACATAGGCATCGAAGACGCTCGCTTCAGAAATGTCCCTGACTGCTGCGGCCTTCACTATGTTTCGAATGACGAATGTCTTAATGGCCTTGTCCTTGGGCACGCATCGGGCACAGTTAGTGCAGCGAATAGGCTGCACGTGGCCGCGGCCCTTTTTGGCACGACCATTGTTCCTTCTTTTCTTTGTCATCTTGGAGGCACGGACCAGAGAGAGCTCATGTGCATTCTTAATGTTGGGTTATGTCACCTTGCTCATCACAACCTAACTCCCCCATTTTCTGGCTCTCAGGCTCTGCCTTCTCATCAATGCCCCAGTGCAAGCTGTCTTCTGTCTGATCCTCCAGATCCATGCTTCAGGCTTCCTCACTCAGCCCAGGGCCCCCAGATGCTATCCATGTGGACTACACCATGGGCTCTCTTGTTCTCTTTTGTCCTCCGGTTGAGGTAAGCCAACAGGTTCTTGACAAGAGACCAAGTTAGTGTATTCACTCCGTTGGCTTCCTCCCTTTGTAGTCACCTTAGGATGGCTTCCTTTCTCAACCAAAAGTCACTGCTCTGCTCAAGGTGGCTTCTTCACAGGACTTCCTAGTCTTGGTTCCAGTACCTGCTCCCTCACCCACACCGTCCATGTCTAGGGGTGGTAGCAGCCCTGCACACTGCTGTAACTCGTATGTTTTCCCTATACTCTGCTCACTTAAACAATCCCTTTATTAAACCCTCTTTGAATTACTCTAATCCAGTGTACCTTCTATTTTCTACTAGGACCCTAATTGATGACACACTTTGTAAACTCTGATTTTCCCCTCTGGCCTCACTCAACCTGATTCTCCCTCTTTCAAAGGGATTGTGCATATTACATGTGTAAAGTGCCTACCACAGTTCTTAATATATTGTAAGTGCTCAAGAATGTTTATTTTTTTTAATTATGAATCCCTGCATAATCTGATTCCTGTCTTCTTTTCACCTTTATTCATTTCTACTCCCCTTGGCCACCCCCATTGTACTGGGTTGAATAGCATCCCCTTAAAATTCATGTCTACCCAGAAACTCAGAATATAACTTTCTTTGGAAGCAGGATTCTTGCAAATGTATTTAGTTAAAACGAGGCCATACTGGATTAGGGTGAGTCTAATCCTATTGAATTAGACCAATAGGGTCTAGACCAATAGGACAAATTAGAAACCACCCTAATCCAATAACTGTTGTCTTTATAAGAAGAGAAAACCGAGACACACATAAGTAGAACAGCCATGTAAAGACAGGGGCAGAAACTGGAGCACTACAGCTGCAAGCCAAGGAATGCTGAGGACTGCTAGCAACTGCTAGAAGATAGAGAGAGGCAAGGAAGGATTCTTCCCTAGAATCTTCAGAGCATAGCTTTGCCGACACCTTGGTTTTGGACTCCTAGCCTCTAGAAACTGCAAGAGAATAAATTTCTATTGTCTTAAGCTACCCCAGTTTGTGGTACTTTGTCATGGCAGCTTTAGGGAATACATATACCCACCAACTCCACATTGAGTGCCCACAATGAACACGGTCTTTCTCACCTCCAGGTCCTTGCATAAGCTGCCTAGGAGCATCCTCTCACCTGTTTTCCACTTGACCACCTCCTGCTTGCCATTCCTCCCATTGTGCTACCTTATCTTGAGACCTTCCCTGACCATCCAAGTCTAGCTTAGGGAAGCCTCTCTTCTGAGTTGCACAACACTCTTTTTGCCATCACAACACCTATCACATTGCACAACAGTTGCAACACTGTTATATGACTGGTTGTAACACCATTTATTGCACTGTAGGATTTGTGAGAACAATCCTCTCCATCTTATAATCCAATCTGTCTTATTCTTAGTTGTATTATGGGTGCCTAGTATGTGTTAATGCTGACTAGTACTCATTAAGTGCTTACTACATACTCAGTACCATTCTAAGTTATTTATATTAACTCATGTACACCAACTTGCTACCTTATGAGGTAAGTACTATTAATTTTCCCATTCTATAGTTGTCTACAATGAAAAGCACGGGATGAGACATCTGCATTATTCTTGGCATTCTTCCAGGTGCACTTTGCAATTCCACCAGCAAACCCCATTGCATGATTTCAGTTTCCAAGTGCAAATCCATCTTAGCCTTAAACTCATTTACGCCATTCGCTCCCACTATATCAGCCACGCTCGACTGTTGCATGGTGCAATAACTCTCTGCCAGGCTCTGAACAGTTTTCCCAGTCATCAAGAAGGTGCAATTGATTCAAAGTGTTAATATTTGCTCACCACTGAGACCATCCGGGGGCTTCATCACTCATAGCAATGCTACCCGCTGGAACTACAGGAGTGCAGGGCTCTCGAAGGCTATGCATGAGCTGATGATGAGAGATGCGGGCTTCTTGGATAAGCAAAATCTCATCACAGAAAGATGTGCATCCTCTCTCCTAACTTGGGCTTTCTGGCAGACAGATGAGAAGAGGTTTAAAGTAAAATAAATGGAAATTGCATATCTGTTCATGCTATGAAATCCTGGAGTTCCTGAATCCTCACACATTCATTGAACTATCTTGCATATTAAATATGTACTAAGTGCCAGACTTTCTGCTAATTGCCAGGAACACAACACAAAATAAAAGGAAGGCTCCATGGTACCCATCTTCCTGCCTTCAGGTAGGAACACACCTGTACATCTGTGGCCATCTGCTCTACCTCAGTTCCTTTAAGACAACTGGACTGGCTCACAGAGGAAAGTGAGGACTGTACCAGGGCCATCTGCAGTGAAGGTCTCAGCCCCACCTTCTTGCTCTGCACATAGCCCTGTCCCTGCCTGTCTCCCTTACTGTGTCCTGCCTCTTAGCATGGGTTGCTATTTTAAGATCCTCCTTTTGCCTCCCTGGGCTGGTCACTGCCATTACACCTTCCTTGGAAGCAGCAAAATGGGGTGGCCATGAGCATGGGCTCTCAGCCAGGCAGCCTGAGTTGAATCCATCTCTGCTATACTCTAGCTGTGTAGTCATAGGGAAGTCACTGCAACCCATGTACCTCAGTTTCTTCATCCATAAAATGGCAACACAAATGACTGTTACTACTTAAGAAGGTTGTTGAGACAATTGAATGAGGTAACAGGCAAAGTGTTTAAGACAGTACCTGACACACAGTAACAACTCAATAAACATGCTAGGTAATTCTGTTATTAGTGTTGTTATCACCTGGTTGATGCTGGATACACACATGCCACTGTAAATCTGGTTATCTCTTTTTATTTATGCACATATCTTTCTTTTGTTTAGCAAAGGTTTATCAACTGGCCACAAGGCCCCATTTAGGAACTATGGGGGCTACAAAGGAAAATAAGATGCAGTCCTCAACTTCAAGGAGCACACAGTCTAATGGCATAAACAAGCAAGACACTTAAAAATAGCCAAATCCACCACATGGAGTGCTTTATATGCTTGCCATTTTCAGTCTGCCCAATAACCTCATGGAGTAAGCACTCATTATCATCATTTTCATTTCACAAGAAGTCACAGCGAGGCTAAGCAATTTCTCCAGGGTTACACAGCTAGGAAATGGCAGAGAAAGGATGCACCAACAGGCAGTCTGACTCCAGAGGCTACACTCACGGTCCTTATGCTAGGCAACGATCACAGCACTGACAACTGTGCTGGAACTTCCTGGGAGCTCCCGGGAAGGCAGCACAAAAGGGACTGATTTCTGACTAATGAGCAGGATTTTTCATGTAGTGCAGGGGAGGGCACACCAAGCCAGGAGGAGCAGGCTGGGGAGAGCACACATCCGGGAAAGGGGCAGTCTGGGGATGCCAGAGGCTGGCTTCTGTGTGGGGAGAGCAGCAGGGTGAGGAGGAAGGATGGCAAAGGAGCCAAAGATCAGGCGAGTCCAGGCCAAGGAGTCCGCACATCTCTCATAGGCAGTAGGGGCTCACCCACCGAATGAAGTGGTTGGATCTGCAGTTTAAGAAGAAAACCAAAAGCCAACTCTTTCCAACAGGCTTCTCTGCTGGCTCTCTAAGGTAAGGAGGAGGTTCAGAAGACAGCCAGAATTGTGCCCAAGGTTTATTTGTATTATGGTCTCTGCTGTGGATAAAAGAGCATAGAGATTCTTGTAGATAGACCAGTTTTTCACCCTAGATTTCCTTCTTCTTACTGTATGACTTTGGAAAACTCGCCTCACATTTCTGAGCTCATCTGCTCCCCAGAGTAAAGAGCGACTGGTGAAAGCCACCTCACAGGGTAGATAAGTGGAAGGGTAAATTGAGAAACCGCAGATGCCCAGGAGATCTTTTTTTTACCTGACAGTTCCTCTGTTGCTGCCCTTTCTGCACCCTCTGTGGGGTTTTCGGGGTCTCCTGCCCAAGGGCCCACAAAGTCCTGGCCTGAGAACAGAGAAGCATGCCTCGAGTGTTGTAAGTGAGTGTGCACAAGTCCCAGGGTAAACTGCCAATTCTCGGCTTTCTGGGCCAGCAGCCATGGGCTGTTAAGCAAAAGGCAACATTAGCCCGAGCAGTGTCTTCCATGATTACCTTTGCTCACACACCTTTTCCTGCCATGACATCACATTACAACGTGGAACATCTGGTTCCTCGGCAGGGGAATGCCACATCTAACTGTGGGAGGACACTGTTTGGGGAAGCCAGCCAAGCCAGAGGCTGCCTGCCTCCCTGCTGCTTCCTCCAGTGCTGCCAGCAAGAAGGATGAAGAAGGAAGAGCCTGGGTCCTCAGGGCCTCCATCCCTCCCTTTGGCAGGGGAAAGGACCAGTCGTGGCCAGGACAGAGGATGCTCAGGTCTGACGTGGGCTCAGGAACGTCCTCACTGACCCCACTCTTTCACACACATGGGCTCAACACCTCAGAGTATCAGAGAATATGCAGTGACAAATCCACAGGCTTTCGAATGAAAAAGACCCACGGGTGAGTTCTAGCTTTGCAACCCTGAGCAAGTCGCTTAACCCCTCTGCTTTAGTATTCTAGGGTCGCTGAAACAAAGTGCCACAAACCGGGCGACTTCAACAATAGCATTTACTGCCTCACAGTTGAGGAGCTAGAAGTCCAAGATCAAGGTGTTGGCAGGGCTATTTCCTTCTGAGGGCTGTGAGATGAATCCGTTCCAGGCTTCTCCTCTAGCTTCTTACAGTTTTCTGGTGACCTTTGGCACTGCTTGGCTTTTAGAAGAGTCATACTGATCTCTGCCTTCGTCTTCACATGGCCCTGTGTCTGTCTGTCCAAATTTTCCCTTTTTACAGGGACACCACTTATACTGGATTAGAACCACCCCCCAACAATGGCTTCTCTTAACTAACTCTATCTGCAATGACCCTATTCCCAAATAAAGTCACATTCTAAGGCACCGAATGTTAGGACTTCAACATATAAATTTGGGGTGAGAGGAGGGGTACAACTCCACCCATAACATTCTCTAAGGCTGTTCTCTTCTCAGTAGAGTGAGGGTAATAAAGGCTGATAAAGCTTTAGTATCCCCATAGGGTTTATTGCACCCCATAGGGTTGTGTGACAGTTAAATGAGGTAGGGAATGTAACTACCTGACAAAGAGCAGGTATCAGGAAATGTGATTTCCTTTCCCCAAGATGGAGAGAGACTCCTTTTCCATGTAGTTAATCTGCTATCCGCAAATTAACTGAGCTTAGTATCTACCCTAACATGCCCCTAGTAGGAATTTAAAGGTCATTTAACCTAACCTCCATTTCAAATAGTAAGGAAACTGAGGCCCCAAAAAATCATTTTGCTGATTTAATGACTAGCCTTGGGCTAGAACTAATTTTTCTCCTTGGAATAAGAAGCCATTTAATCCAGGGAACATTCTCTGTATTAAAATATCCTATATATAGCTCCTCACTGCCCTCCAATAACACTCGCAGTTTGTCTTATGTAGCATAAGTGGTCTTTCTCAAACCTTCCCCATAGCCATCACCTTGTTCAGGCAGGGATAACTTATGGCACTAGACAGTTGAGGAAACAGAGGCTCAGAAAGCTACAGGGCTTGGTAGAGGTCACAGACCTCATAAGTAGTAAGACAAGAATTATAGTGCAAGTCTCACTACAGCTTTGCCAGGGCTTTCTCCTCTATTGCATGGTTTTATATGTGGGTCTTGGTTACCTTCAAATGGTAGAATCCCATGCAAGATTCAAGGAGGGCTTCTTGGGAAGGCCCTGGCCACCTGCCTCTGCTATTCCAGCTTCCAAGACCTTCCATACAACTATCCTTGCTTCCTCTTTGAAACATCCATTTTTCATCTTGCTGCTCTGCTGCTCCACAGAGTCCACAGTCACAGAGCAAGGCATGGGGAGACATGGCAAGCTCCCCAGGTTCTGTTCCTGGTGCAGAGTGAGGACACTCACTACGGTGCCAGGAGTTCCAGCCCTGATGCTCCGTCAGGTGAGGAATTTGATGGAGGGCCTACCTAGTCACCCAGATGGCTTTCTGCTTTGAGAAAGTTTCTCAGCCCTGAGATGAGTAGATACTACACACCATGCTCGCCCTCACACAGATGCGTCTGAAGGAACATGCACCAGGATCTGGGTGAGTCATTTGCAAGAAATGTCAAGAAAGCACACAATGAGACAATTGCATGTGAACATGGATGACTGATAGAGCTGAAAAGTCAGAGAAGGCCAGAGCCAAACTCAGCATATGAACTAATAACTCTGATTTATCAACCAACTTATTTATTCATTCATTCATGCAACAAGTACTGATTGAGGGATTACCATGTGCAAAGCACTCAGCTAGGCACTGCTCAGGAATAAGCAAGGCAACATTGTCCTCACTACCTGGGGCTCTCTGGTCCTTCACCACAGAATGTCCGAAGAGGCCCATTCCATTGGCACCAAAAGGCTTGTTTTAGGGATAGAAAAGAACAAAATAATTACAGAAAATAAGGCAAGCAGCAGAGCCTTTTGGCTGCTCTGGGGTCACAGTGCTGTAAATAACAGAATGTTAAAATGGCCTTGGGGTACAATAACTGAAGAGGGGTGTGAGTCATTTCGTGACGCAAGAAAAAAAATGACACCTTTACAACAGCTGCAAATTAGCCTTGCTATAGGAAAAAATCAGAGGAAATGTTTCACAGGAGCAAGGATCCTTGCTCATAACAACCTTTCAGAGAGGACTCTGTAGACCAGAAGCACCAGAACCTAAAGTCCAGTGTATAGCCCGGGCCCCCACACTTGGCACAGACTCAGCCTATGGTAGACAGAATTAAGCTCATGGAGTAGAAAGAGTGTCTATTTAGAAATCAGAGAGCTTGAAGCCTAGCATCTATCAAGCCCCTTGCAAGCTAGAGATCTTGGCCAAGCAACTGGGTGTCTCAGAGCCCTGAGTTTTTATCTGTAAAATGGGCATATTCACAACAAAAAACACTGACAGCCCACTATGTGGTCTCTGTGCTTTCCCTGCATTATCTTGCCTAGTCCACAATTTAACCCTATGAAGTAGGTCCTAGATCATCGCTATATTTCACAATGGGAAAGCCGCAGGTGGATAGCCCAAGCCAATTGCCATTTCTACAGCTGCTAAGTGGAAAAGACAAAACTGGTGCTCTATAGCCTGAACCCTTAACACCTTTAACAATAATAATAACTGATTCCCAGTGAGAAAGTGAGGAATACATGAAATTGCATGTGTAAAAGCATTTGTTGAAAATCAAAAAGTATTGCATACAGATGAGGGTGTTTATTATTTCTTCCCTCCATGGGCATGAATAGACTTACAATAAGCCAAAGAAATTTCATTTTAAATCCTACTCTCCCTTTATTCCTCAACTGTTACAGTAAAATGAGGGGCTGGGGATTTGGAGAAACAGTCAGGAGCCAAGGAACCAGCTATAGAGATATGAGATAGGGAAGAAAGAACCACGGGGCCTCGTAGCGCACATAATTTGCAAGCTGATGTACAAACTATTTGCTGGGACCAATTACTCTCATCTTAATTAATGAACACACAACCCACAATCTGTCTGAGAAATGTGAAAAAATATGGCATGTGTTTAGAGGCTGCAGTGTGCCAGCCACCAGATCTGGAAGCACCTTCCTCAGACTGCTGGGCTGGGAGTCACCATGGAGACCACGTTTTAGCATCCTAATGACACTGAAATTCAGTTCAAACCAGCTCTTCGAAGTGCCCATGTGAAGTGCTTGCTGTGTGGCTGGCCTTGGGTTAGGCGCTGTGGAGTGCTCAGAATAAAGGCAGCCCACTCCCTGCCCTAGAGGACGAAGGAGGAAGGATTGCTCGTCAACCCACCAGCCTTGATTTTGTGCCTCCAGTCTACTCAGTGCGGTGCCTGGCACTGCAGGGGACTCCAAGGCTGAGGCCACAGACTTGCATTCCAGGCATTTAACTTGGACAGTTGGTAATGACCATAGATAAATTTTTTTATTTATTTATGTATTTATTTATGTATTTATGTATTTATTTATTTATTTATTTTGAGACGGAATCTCGCTCTGTCACCCAGGCTGGAGTGCAGTGGCGTGATCTCGGCTCACTGCAAGCTCCGCCTCCCGGGTTCACGCCATTCTTCTGCCTCAGACTCTCCGAGTAGCAGGGACTACAGGCGCCCGCCACCACGCCCGGCTAATTTTTTGTATTTTTAGTAGGGACGGGGTTTCACCGTGGTCTCAATCTCCTGACCTCGTGATCCGCCCACCTCGGCCTCCCAAAATGCTGGGATTACAAGCGTGAGCCACCGCGCCCGGCCAACAATAGATAAATTTGCTGAGGGCTTATTCTGAGTTGGGTACTATGCTACCTAAGCCAGTTGCATATATTATCTCATTTTATCCTCACAACAACCCCATGAATGAATTGACTATTAACTGCTAAAATTTATTGAGCACTTACCCTGTGCTATGCATGCCCTAGGCCAAGCACTGATAGTTTCCAGGATTTAAAAGCTTGGGCAAGATCACTGGTTAGCAAGTATCACAATCAGGATTTGAATCCAGGATGTTTAGCTTCAAATGCAGGGTGAATTTAACCATTATATTATAGTACATTAATTCAACTGATACTTATTGAATGCCTTTGAGGAAGATAAGAATCTTATATTTTAGCAAATTTCAAGTATACAATACAGTATTATTGACTATAGTCAACATGCCATACAAGTATACCTTAATAAAACTGGATTTTTTAAAAAAGAGTCTAAAATAAAAGACTTATATTTTAGTAAAGGGAACTGGGTGTGAGGGGAAACAAGCAATCAACAAATTCAGTTCATGACAGACTCTGATTTGTACTGAAAAGAAAATGTACTTCATGAGTCGATACAAAGGGTGAGAATGGAACAACATGGTCCCCTCCCAGCGGAGAGTGCGCAGTGGCCATGGTCAAGTTGGCGGGCTCCCCTGAAGCAGACACCAAGACAGAGTAGTATGCAGGATGTGTATTAGGATGCGTGGTGATTTTGGAATCTACATCTGTGGAGGGGGAAAAGGAAGCAGGGGTCAGCAGAGGGAGATGTCGAGCTGCAGTGTAGGCCAGGGACAGTCTTGGCCAACCCTGAGGGAGTCCTGGAGCTTGAACAGTCATGCAGACTTGTCCTGACCTGATAACCTCCACATCAACAAGTTATTGGATGAAGGCTATCAGAGGAAGGATCTGACCTTGGGCAAGGCAGCTCCCTGTAGCCGAGGCAATCCCAGGGAAGGTTAGCAAGTGCAAGCTGTCTGCCCACTGCACTCTCAGAGGCTGGACCAACAAGTACCATCTTGAAGGGATTTCTTGATGGCACCTCACAGTGTCCACCACAAGGGTGATGGTAGAGGAATCTCTGAGGCAGTGACAACTAAGCTGATTCCTAAATAAGATGGGGAAGAGCAAGTGATGAAAGAGGCTCAAAGCAGCCTACACAGGGGGACATCTCTTCCAGGAGTGGACAAAAGGCAGATCCTCAAAACAACAAATGAATAACATGAGACACTGTGATACAGAAAAGGAAGTGGACACAATTCCAGTGTTAAACACACCAGCCAGGGGTAGGGGAAATCATGAGGAATGGGAGTATTTATTCAGCATGGCCTGTGGTTTGGGGTTGGGAAGAGAGATTGATTTGTTAGGCTTAAAACTCTCATAAACTTTTTTATGTTATAATAATCCTATGGATTTAATTAACCAAAACCACTCCCAATCAACAGAGTGTGTGGCTGTTAACAATAATAATAATTGCAAAAGAACATTAACATTATGCCAGGCCCTGTTCTAAGTGCTTTGTTTATATTAATTCTCATAATCTCACAACCATACGAAGTAGGTGTTATTTTACAGATGAAGAAACTGAGGCACAAAAAGATTGAGTAACTTGGCCAAGGTTGCATAATGAGTAAGAAGTAGAGCCAGGCTTCAAATTCAGGCATCTGGGCTCTCGGGTGGCACCTCTGACTATTGCACTGTGCTGCTGCCCCAGGTGCAAATCCCTGGCTGTATTAATAGAGGCAGAGTCCAGCTCCAGGTGCAAGAGTCTTGCTCCTCAGATACCATGAGACACTGGAATCACTTCTTTTTTGCCTGTCCGTTTTCCACCTTGCAGTCAGAGTGATCTTTTCAAAACAAAATTGAATGACATCTTTCTCTGCTGAATACCTTCAGCGACTCTACATTTCACAGGCTAAACTCATCTGGCACTCAGGGCTCTGCAGGGCCTGCTCCGGCCTCGCCATTCTCCTTGTATCCCAACACCTCCTCAGAGCCTTTGCTCATGCTGTTCTCTTCACCTGGAGTGTTTTCTCCCTCATCTCTGCTCCCCATCAGAATAGCTAATTCCTCTCATTCCACAAGCATCAGACCCTCTTGTTATTCTCTCCTATTACACACTTCCTTTTTCCTTTACAGCACTGAATATAATGTTAGTTCCTTATTTGAGTGACTAAAATCACAAATTAAATCAACAATGGTGTAATTCATTGTTTAATGTCTATTTTCCTGCTACAATGTAACTATGACGAGGAGAGGGACTCCCACGGCCTAGCCCAGTGCCTGGCATAGATGAGGCATTCGTCTAATGCTGTGGAATGCAAGAGTGAATGAATGAGCTTCTCTGATAAAGCACGTTTGTTCTGAAGAGGGAGGTCAGAGTAACTACCAGCTCTGACACCCAGGTTTCTCACCTGCAAACAATGAGATCTCCTTACATAGTTCTTGTGTGGTTAAGCATTAATGTGTGTAAAACACCTACCACAGATTCCAGGAACTAGCAGCCCATCAGTAATTGGTATCTATAATGAATCTATCTATAATATTTTGTTAGGACCATTTCAAAAAAAGTAAGGGAGACAGAGTCTATGGGTTAAGAGTGAAGTAACTGGTATCTATAATCAATCTATCTATATTATTTTGTTAGGAACATTTTAAAAAAGTACAGGAGATACAGTCTATGGGATAAGAGTGAAAATTCTGTAGCCAACACTCTAGAGTCAAATCCTAGCCATACGTATACTAGCTGGGTTTACTGCCATCTCCTTATAGGCCTCAACCAGTTCATCTGTACAATGAGTGGGGGGTAATGAGTGTTCCATACACATGCAGCTGTTGTATTGGGGATAATGAGTGTTCCATACACATAAGCTGCTGTATTAAAACAAACAAATAAAGCATTTAGGACAGTGCCTTGCACATAATAATCTTTATCTCAACAAATTTTATATACTATTGTCACAAACAGTAAGATAGTATGGAGAATTTAAAGACAGTCTTAGCCAGAAGGAAAGAAGATGAGAGGACAGGAATACAGTTCTCAAACATTTGAAGTGGAGATGCTGAGGAGAGGGACAAGTTTTCTATGTGAGACTCCAAAGAAGGTAAAATTCAGGGAAGGCTCACATTGGGTCCGTGAAGAGCACTAGTGCAGATGAGATGCCAGACAAAACAGGAAGTATCCTGGCACATAGAGGCTGGCAGCCAGGGGTGAAGTGGAGGAAACTGGGTGGAAGGTTGCAGGAGAAACCCTTAAGGGTCCTTGCATCTCTATCGTTCTGAGGTAGGAGGCTTCTATAATGCTTTTGAATTCCACGCAGTAGTGTTTTCTTTCTTTAATTCACCTATATATAGCGGGGAAAAGGATGCATTCATTCACTATTTGTCAGGAACATAGCAAAGCTCAAAAAGATGTCTGTTTGGATTTCTGGAACATTTCAGAACCTCAAAAGAAAGATTATAGGTTAAAAGCACCATGATCGCCTGGGCATGGTGGCTCACGCCTGTAATCCCAGCACTTTGGGGGGCAGAGGCGGGCGGATCACGAGGTCAGGAGATCGAGACCATCCTGGCTAACACGGTGAAACCCCATCTCTACTAATAATACAAAAAAATTAGCTGGGTGTGGTGGTGGGGGCCTGTAGTCCCAGCTACTCGGGAGGCTGAGGCAGGATAATGGCGTGAATCTGGGAGGCAGAGCTTGCAGTGAGCTGAGATTGCACCACTGCACTCCAGCCTGGGCAACAGAGTGAGACTCCATCTCAAAAAAAAAAAAAAACCAAAAAAAAAAAAGAAAGCATCATTATCTCTGACTCTTGGGTCCAATGTTCTTCCAAATTAGTATGAGAATGAGTGGGAATGAAGAAAGGCAAACTGCACCTCTAATGTGTTCACTACTGTCACTTACGCTTGGTGTGACACACAACACCACAGTCTCCTTGGGCTTCACGAGGCTTTCAGGGCTCTGACCCTGGAGGGCTGGGTGTGCAGAGTCCATCCTTGTTGCATTAGAAGAGCACACAAAGACATGTTGAAGGAGGCTATTCTGGTAGGCTCGGACATGCTATATGACGGCTTTGTCAAAGAGTAATATGCTCTTATGTGCATCACTCCACAGTACATAATACACAGTCTCATTCCATGTAGACTTCAAAATAATTCCATGACATAACTTTTCATTCACTCACTAAATTATCCAACATGCGTTTGTTGAGCACTTACATCTATTGCCTGCTTACTGTATACCAGGCACTGTTTTAGGTGCTCACCAAACTTACCCTCTTAACCTCATACTTGAAGAAACAGACACAGAGATTAAGTTTGTCCAAGGCTTCCAACCGAGGCACCGTCCTCTAAAACAACAGTACTTACTGTCCTGATTTAATAATAATGATGAATAATTAATTTTGTCTACCATAATTAGCATAAATAACAAGAATTGTAACTATCCTTTGTACTTTACGGCGTACCAAGAATACATACATAACCAATCCTATGCACTGTGGCGGGCAATTGTCCCTATTTTAAAAATAAACATGCTAAGGCCCAGAGAGGTTAATTAACAAGCCCCAGTTCACCCAGACAGCGAGTAGACAGAGGAGTCTGCTCTGTGACTGTCACTGTCTGTCCCTCAATGCATGTTCAGCACAACACACCTAATATCAATAATTAGTGTCTCCATGTTGAAATGATATCTTATGTAATACATCCATTATTTAATTTGATCTCTCCACGAACCCAATGAGATAAAAAGCATTATCCCCATTTCAGAGCTGAGGAAACTGAGGCTCAAAAAGTTGTCAACATGTACTAGATATGTGGAGGGCTTGAGTCAGGCTTCAAACCCACATTTTCTTATTCCAACACCTATGCTTTTTTCATTAACCTTCCCTGCCAAATATTCACCTATAATGCCTCTTGCGGAGACATAGAAAGCTGCTGCCCTTGCCCACAGAGTCAGTGCCCCAGGCATTCTCTTTCTCTTCCTTTCAGCTATCCCAGCCCAGAGATTTTGGGGAAGCAGCATGGAGAGAAGCTCATGCCTTGCTCAATACTAGGCCAGGCACTTGGGGACCCAACCATCAGGGAGCTGACACAATTTCAGATGCTTGCTGCCCTAATTATTTGATGATCTGTCATCACAGAGATAGAACTGTGATGCGGGGAGTGGCATTCTGCTTTTGCCTAGGCAAAAGAAAGACAGCTAAAAATGCTTCAGTTTCAGTTTACAGAAGAGAAATCTCCACCAAAGTCTATGATCAATCCCAAATATTGGTTCAGAAAGAAGGATGGAAGGGAATTGGGCAGTTGTGGAGCATCTACTGTGTGCCAGACATCATGCTGGCAAAGATGTCACACAGTACATGGATTTGCTGGTTTGGTCATCACAACAACCCCATGAGAGAGGGATACATACTTGCGATTTGTAGGTGAGGAAGCTAAGGATAGTAGTGGTGGATGAGCCAGACACCTGGGGCAGGAGCGGGGCAAGAATCTCAGTCTTACTTCTGCAGAAGTCACATAATGGCTTTAACCAGGAGCATGATTTAGTTGGAACTGTGTTCTAGAAATATTCCTCTGCTGCAGTGAACTGAGTTCATTTGAGAAGGTAAAGACTGGAGGCAAAGGAGGATGAAGTACATTGTGTGAGATGGGATGCAGGCCTGTGGCTAGGATAGGCATGCGAGGAGTGGCTAGACTCGGGACTCATCAGGATGCTGAATCCGCATCTCTAGAAGGCCAATGGAGGCCCAGAAGCAGGACAGGAGTGAGGAGGAGGCAAGGTCACAGTCAGGCTGGAACATGGGTCTCTGGCCTGTGTGACCGGATGAATGGAGCTGCTGCAAGCTGGTGTAGGAAGGCAGGCTCAAGGGCACAGATGTTGAATTAAGTGTGGAAATGTTGAGTGTCAGGTGCCTGAGAGTGATCCAGGTGGAGACGCCCAGTTCACAAGTTTCCCCTGGAGCTCAGGAGAGAGCCTGGACCATAGAGAAGCTGCCAGAAGAGACTTGGTGGTTGCAGCCAGGAATGTGGAGGGAATGGCTATGAGAGGATGTGTAGTGTGATGTGGGAGTGGGGAGTAGAACAGAGCTCTGGGGACACCAAGATGGGCCTTTTCAGAGGCTTAGCAAGAATGGCCAGATGGGCAGGAGGAAACGAGGAAAATCTACATTTGCTTTTAAAGAATGAAGTTCTTTCGTGTGTTGTATTCTTGAAGAAATGAAGGGTGTTACTAATCCAGCTGAGGAAGGATTCTCTGATGTGATCTGTACTATCCTGGGAGAACACACAGTATGGATGGGGAAGATCCAGAATCCATGTGAAGAAGAAATAGGAACTCTACCTCCATCAAAGGAGAATGGTGTGTGTGTGTGTGTGTGTGTGTGTGTGTGTGTGTGTGTGTGGGTGGGGAGAGACTGAAGTTCCCGCTGCTGGGCTGCTAAGAGAAGGGTGAGCAAGGACTGTGCTGTGGCTCCTCTAGGTGTCTGTGCTGAGAAAGGCATGGTGTCATTGCTTTTTGACATGGCACTGATGTTTGGTTCACCAGGTGATGCCAACCAAACATGGAGGTTGCCTTAAAGCATTAACCTGAGTCTGAAGAATGAACACATGGAAATGATGCTCATGATGAGGTAAGTTTTACACAAGCCTTGAGGTTCATGAAGAAGCTATGATTTTGCCAGCACGATAACTGAGACAGATAACTCTCCACTCTCCTGTATCCTTCAAAAGTAGGAACAGTCAAGAAATGCATGTGAACACACAGAATCACAGGATCTTAGGACTGGAAGGGACCTGAATTCTCATTTTTCTAATTGACAATTGATTAATTAACTTGTGAATTCATCATTCACTCTACAAATATTTATAGAGCATTTATTATTTCCAAGCATTATTCTAGGCCTGGGGGATTCAACAAAGAACAAAACCAACTATAATTCCCACCCTCTTGAAGCTTACATTCTAGTAAGGAACATGCAAAAGTTAAAAGGTAAATAATTAAAATATACCATGTTAGATGGTGGGGAGTCCTCCAGAGAAAAATAAAGCAGGATAGGGGATAGCAAACATTATTGGTGGGGTGGGGGGGGGTGGGTAGTAGGGAAGGTTTTGCAATTTTAAATAAATTAATCATCATGAACTCTTTTTATGATATCTCAATGAATGGTCTTCCTTCTTTATACTTTTTTCACACCCATTAGTTAATTTGATGCTTGTTAAAAACTTGAGAAAGACAAATATTGCCATAATCAGAGCAAAGTTATTAAATATTTATTTTGGGCCATTCATAGTGTTGACTGGTTCACAACTACTATCTCATATTATCTTCACACCAATATGGAGGTAGTTACTGTCATTATCCCATTTTACAAAATTAACAATCCAGAAGCAAAAAACCCTAGTTTTCATCCTGGACTCAAAGTGCAGTCTTGCCACCTACCATCTCTATGACAGTAGGTGGATTGCTTAATTTTTCCAATCCTCAGTTTCCTCATATGCAAGATGGGAGTAACAAGACCTCACCCACAGAGTTGCTGTGAGAATTATGTGTGTGACAGAGTAGGAATCAAGTCAGATAGATCTGTCTGATTCCGAAGAACAAACCTTCAAGCACAAACTATCCTGTCTCATTTTTTGAGATGAGGAAATTGCTGAGCAGCAGTGATTACAGTAATGATAAGATGACAACATTGATATGATCATGCAAAATCTCTCCAACTCAGCAGCTTAAGCGATCAATTTAGACAAGAACAATAAAATCCTTTGCAGTTCGCAAGCCTTGAATTCGTGATACAGCTGTAACCAAGGGGAAAGCAAGGCTGTATTATATGCAACATCAAATTTTTCCAGGTTTCCTATTCACTTTCCAGATTCGGTGCTTCCAAATAGATAAGTGTGTGTGTCCACAACACTGGCCATGATAATAATTGCTAACACTTTTATAGTGCTTCTATAGTGCAGCATAATGAAAGTAGTTTATACATAACTCATTTAATATTCACCAACCTTAATGAGGTAGTTACTGTTATTTGTATTATTATAGCTATTTTATAATGGGGAAACAGAAGCTCATAGAAGTCAAGTAACTTACCCATCACACAGTTCTAAGTAATAGAACTGGCATGTGATCCCAGGCATTCTGATGTCAAGAGTCCATGTTCTTGACACCTATGCTATACAGAACTAGCTGCGTTAGCCAAATAACCATGCTTTGTCCATTGTTCTGCCTTCACACATACTGTGTTGTCTGTCTGGAATACTGTTCTTTCCTCTCTCCTCTTTCCACCTTCCCAACTGATTAAATTTCATTTTCTCCTCAGCATCATCTCCCCTGGAAAGTCCTCTCTGACTCTACCCACCCTCAATTTCCACTGTGGATGCCCTCTCCTCTTCTCTGGGCTCATAGAGCACCCTGTGCCAACCTTTATCATAGCACCTGAGTAGAAACTCAAAACATTCTGTACTTGCTCTCCCCAGGGCCCCTACAGTAGACTGTGACTTCCTTTAAGCCTAAGACTATGTCTGGTAGAATACAGTCTTCTGAAACATAGTAAGTCCTTCATAAATATTTGCTGAGTATATAGACAGATTAAATGTTGACCATATTGGATGCATTAATGGTTGCAGCCCCAGCATGCATACTTTCTGGGTTTTGAAATTCTAACTAGGGAATTTTAAAGTGGGAAATTCAGGTAGAATTTGGAATGGGGATGGGGCAGCTGACTGGCCCAAGTCAATGTGTCTCTGTGATTTGTTAAGCCTTCAGCACAATCCTTTACACTAGCCAGAGTAATCCAGTGTGTGCAATTAACTTACGAAGGTATAATTAGAGGAAGGTGGGAAATTAGTTCAGAAGGTGAATGAATGGAAATACTGCTCACTCTCTAAGGGAAGCAGAAGGCCCGGAACCCCTGGGGACATCCTCAGCTATCTTAAGTCCTCAAAGAGATAAAAATGACTCCACGAAAAGTAGATCAAAAGGACAGAAAGAACATATCCATGTGATATTGATGAGACACAGGTTCAAACCAACCTTGAGTTCTTCTATCCTTCTGGACTTCTCAAATACATGAGCCGGTAAATTCCACTATTGTTTAAGTCTCTTTGAGTTGGGTTTTCTATTACTTGCAACCAAACACGTTATAAATAGGTTGCTGTTTAGCTGACTTCAAAGGTTGCAGATAGGAGGAAGGGTACCACATGAAGGAATATTAATATCATGAGAGATGTTACTAGAATTGTACTTAAAATTTATTCTGTGGTCATTGGGTACCTACTGACAGTTTTAGAGCAGAGGAGAGCTACTCTTGGAGCTGTGGCTTAGAAATATAATTCTGTTGCACTAGGCTTCAACTGCTATTCTGTATATACATATTTTTCTCTTTCATTTTACAGGTTAATAATCACACAAAAAGAATAATTGTAAGTATCCAGGATTTCTACTAGTTGGTAAAAAAAAAAAAAAGAATTATCTCTGAAGTGGAAAATGACATTCTCAGGGAAGATTCTAATATATATACATATATATATATATATATATACACACATATATATATGTGTGTATATATATATATATATATATATATATATATTTGAGAAACAGATGGTATCTCAGAGCCTCAAGTCTGTTGGCTTGTAACAGCAAGGCAACGAACTTTATGCCAACAAGTAAACTCGTCTTCCCAGGAAAATGGCAAACCCCTCAATCACGTGGCCTCCAGTGATACTGCCAGTATGAAGTGTTTAGATTCCCCAGGCGAAAATAAGAAACTTTGCCACAGCAGTAACTAGAAAGAAAAGACTGTGGTTTAGGGAGATAAGGAAAGGCAGGGAACATTTCCTGAACTTCTAGTCAGCATCATGTAATATGCTACGTGCCTGTCATCTATCAGCTCACTCTGTCCCCCGGGAGCAGGGATGCAGACTCCAGCCTTCATGGCTTCAAAGTGCACCATGTTATGGACAAACAAAGTTTCCAAAGCTGAATTGTGAAGGTGCCAGGCAAACACTTCCACCAACAGAACCCAGCTCAAATACTACCTCTTCCATCCAGCTTGCATAACTTTATCTGCTCTTTAGTTTGTTCCTTCTCTGGATTCTAAAAGCTTGTCCCAGCCAATTAAATTCCAACCACCTAGGAAACAGAGAATTTCTTTTCTGTTCATCTCTGTTCTTTAGGAATTATTGTTTAATCACTTTTTTAATAGAAAGCATTTTAAGGTGGATTGAGAAGAAAAGAGGGCATGGTAGTTAGTAAAGTCTGTTCAAAAATACTCTGGGATTCCTTATTTACACATGGTGAGATTGTACTTCTCCTCCCCGTGAAAGATAAGTGTGGTCATGTGACTTTTTTGGCTAATGAAATTGTGAGCAGAAGCAATCTGTGTCACTTCCAAGTGGAAGGTTTAGAGCCAGTGCACAGTTTGCCACATTCCCTTCCTTACTAAAGTTACTGTGGAGGCCTGTGTCAAGAAAAAGCCTCTATCTTTGAGTGAGGATGATAAGGCAGAGAGCTCCCTGGTGATTGTGTATGTTGGCCTATAGAAGGAGCAAAACCTGTGTAGTATTAAACCATCTTGATTTGTGTATGGAATGTTTGTTACTGCAGCATAAATTAAGCTGTCCTGATTGATTCAAAAGGATTTGTCAAAAATGACATAGAAGTGTCCTCAGAATTCAAGGTCACAAATGCAGCTGGGCTTCAAGAATGTACTAGAACCAAGGTCTAGAGAGCTGTCCGACTCTCTCTCCCTCTCCTGTATTCCCCTCTGTGTGTCCTCCAACTCTGCTGCCTTTCTCTGGCTCTATCTCTGTCCCTCTTTGTGAATCTCTCTGTTTTTCTTCCTGCTCCTCCAGTCTACCCAGGTGGGAAGTAGAGGGAAGATGTTTTCACCAACGCTATTGAGAATATCTGTTACAAGTCTTTCTCTCTCTCTCTCTCACAGGCACACACACACACACAAACACAATACTCGGCTTCATTTCCAAATTTCTAGAGAAGGGACTCTGATCAGCTCAACTTAAATTCATATGAGGTCCCAACCCCTAGTCCAATCAAATACGGCCAAGGGATGAAAGAAAAGGAAATAGTGAGGTGGGCATTTAAGAAGGGTTACTGTAAGTTGATATATAATAATAGTAACTAGCACTGAGACAAAGATCCTTCTGTGATGGTGATGGTTCATGTCTATTTACTCTCTTAATCTTCAGAACAACTATATATGTATACTAATATCACAAGCTCCATTTTATAGATGAGAAAATGGAAACATGTAGAGATTAATTAATTTGCCCAAAGTCACAGGTGATAAGCAGGAGATCAGAGATGTGCACCCAGGAAGTCTCACACAAGAGTTTTTGCACTTCACCCAAGGCCATGCTGCCTCTTATATAATAATTGGCAACTATTATAAGCACTTTGTTTCTCCCGGCCAACTCTGGGTTCCTGCAGAGTGGAAATCCATGTCTAGTATCCTCCCTAGAAGAGTGTTAAAAGAAAGGAGCCAGCATGTACTAAGTGCCATGCTAGAAGCATCCACACTAAAGGATTGTTGTCACTTAATGGCAGGAGATGTTCTCAGAGTTAAAAGACTTGCCCAAGGTTTCCTAATTAGTAAACGATAGAGTCATGGCTCAGATCCAAGTCTTCTCATTCTAAATCTAGCAGTCTTTCCAGTTCTACTGCACCAGGGTTTTTGTACTCATGTCAAGAATCATAAATAAACTCGAACAAATCTATTTCCCCTCCTCCTCGCTGCCCTCAAAAGGCAGTGACACCAAGGGCTCTGAAGGCAGTGACAGAAGCTCCTTTCTTGTAGCTACACTGATGAAGCTGAGAAGCTTCAGGGAGAGGTCAGATGGCCAAGCTGCAGCCTAGTGATGTTCATGGAATGAAGCTGGAAGGGAGTCTTCCTGGGTCATCTTCATCTAGGTAACTGCACATCTGACTTTTCTAGACCATTTTTCTAAGGATGGTCCTCCTAACATCAGACTGTGTCTTATTGGCTCAGGCCCTGTGCAAGCAAAGCCTTCAGGAGCAATGCTTGTTATTGTTGCTGAGTTCTGGTGGGGTTGAGGCAGGCAGGGGCTGACTTTACCCACACCCCTTCTCTATAGGGAATAATTATAATAAAAAAAAACAATAACAATGATAATGATAATACCATCAGTGGGTCACTTGCCACTGACCAGTCACAAGTACACTCATATGCTAATCCAATCCTTACTTAAAGAGGAGGAAAGGCTAAGTGATTTGTCCAAGGTCACATAGCAAATAGGTAAAACACCAAAATTTCAATTCACATTTATCTGATGCCTCCAGCTTTCCCCTGCATGGCGGTTTCACATCAGTGGACAGATGATCCACAGCAAGCCGAGAAACGACCTTGAAATTGACCAAAGGGGTTCATCACTCCCTAGATGAGGAGGAAAGAGGAAAGTGGTACAGTCTGGCAAATAATGAGAATGAAGAAGAAGGTGGAGACAACAATGGATAGGAAGAGAGAAATAACAGGAGGGAGAGAAACACCAGCAGAACAAAGCTTGCATTGACAATCTTATGTAATTCCAACAGGTCTGGAGAAGAAAAATATGGAGAAGGATTACAGGCTGGGTAATTGTTCTTCTGACCTTAGCTCTCCAAAGATCAATGGGTGCCCCAGCAGCTAACTGACAAAGTACCCCACTATTCCTCAAACCCAACTACTTTTCCAGGAGAAAGGAGAAAGGAAAGATTGACGGCTTCCAAAGGCTGGGGAGCACGTTCCCCTCATGCTGCATCTGTACCTGGGAATCCACACTTGGTCTTTCAGTGCCCAAGGACCACCTCAAGTCTCAGAGGGCAGGGTGCAAGGAGTTGGCAATTATTGACCCTAAAGTTCTGAGACGAGCAGCACCAGGCTCTGAGCCAAGCTGTGCTCGAGTCTGAGTTCAAAGGCATGTGGATTCATTTTTTCTCTTTAATAATTCACTTTGTCTTTCTGCAGCTGAGATTAGCAATTTACAACTACCTTTGGGCATGCCTGCTGGCCCCAGGGAAGGAGAGAGGAGAATCCAAGAAGGTAAGCAGAACTCAGACAACAGGAAACACCACTCTAACCCCTGCCTTCCAGCATAGGGTGCCTCCCCATTGGGGCTCAAGCATTCCCTGCATCTTATCTGCTCCTTTCAGGATTTGGAGAGATACTGTAGAAAGTCTTCCACCACTTTTTATCTTAACTCCTTAAAGAACTTCTGCCCTGACCCCCTAAATCCTTTCTTGTTCTGGGGGCTTGGGCTAGAGAATTCTTTGATTAATTAGCCCAGTGATCTTGAAGAAGTTCCTTGATATCACTATACCTGAGTTTCCATATCTAGAAAATGGGGATAATTGATGTATGTTCCTCATAGTGTCAAAGTGAGGATCAAATAGGTTAATATATATGTAAATTGATTAAAACATAGCTTGGCATTCAGTAAATGTGCAATGTAAGTTTCCAAGAAGGAAGTTAAAGAGTTTTTTTACCTTGTTCTCTCCCTTGAGCCTAAAGTCCTATGATGTTAGCTCCCTGCAGCCTCTGCTCAAACAAAACAGAGGGCAAGAATCACTGGAAATAGGATGAGAAAGAAAAGGAAAAAACAATAAAGATAAATAGTATTTGCTGAGTATTAATTATATGCCAGACATATGCTTGAGGTTTCCACACGTGTTAATTTTAATATTAATAAATATAATGATAGTAACATTGTTATAGTGAACATAATGCCAAATCACTTCACCCAAGGCGAGTCCCATTAGAGGGCATTAAACACATGAGATTACTATTCCTGACAATAATATGAAAAAACAGGTTCCTTTCATCATATCTGTTGTGGAGTTGAGCTCAGGGAATTTGGGAGACTTGGTTTTTGGTGGCTGGATTCAAAGTGAGACATTGACTTTACATAGCACCATAGAAAGCATGACATTGTTACTGGCCAAGGCCATCTGGAGAGCAGGCTGATGAGAATAACTCACAGGATCAAGACGGAAGAGCAGGCACCTCATTCAGGGATGGATTTTCTTTATTTTCATCATCAGATGATGTGGGCAGGTAGGGCATTAAACCTCCTCAAGATCCAAAAAAAGAAACAAAGGCTCAGAGAAGTCAGGTGGCTTGACCAAAGTCACAAAGTAGACGTGGGTTAGATGACCCACTGAGGTGTCCCCACAGGACACTGCAGGTCTCATGGCCCACTATCACCTAGGGCTCCCCTCAGACATCACATCATCAGGGAACCCCTCCCAGACCATCCTGGCAGAAACAACACCCTCCACTGCACCCTCTCCACTTACTGTGCCCATCCTCATTTGGAGTGCTCATTATTACCACTTACCACTGCATCATGTACTTATCTATCTTATTATCTGCCCATCATCAACAGCTAAGGTTCATGGGACAGGGAAGTTTGTTCACTGTTAAATTCCCAGCACTTATGACAGTGCTTGGCATAGGATCAGCACTCAATATTGTTAAATGAATGAGCATACCATCTTTTTTTTTTTTTTTTTTTTTTTTTGAGATGGAGTCTCGCTCTGTCGCCCAGGTTGGAGTGCAATGGCGCAATCTCGGCTCACTGCAACCTCTGCCTCCCGGTTCAAGCAATTCTCTGCCTCAGCCTCCCGAGTAGCTGGGATTACAGGCACCTGCCACCACGCCTGGCTAATTTTTGTATTTTTAGTAGAGACAGGGTTTCACTATCTTGGCCACGTTGACCTTGAACTCCTGACCTCATGATCCACCTGCCTCAACCTCCCAAAGTGCTGGGATTACAGGTGTGAGCCACTGCACCTGGCCGAGCATACCATCTTTTAATTGCCTTATTTTCATATGTTTCCACTATCTAAAACCTCTATAAGGTCAGGGATCGAATTTTAAGTGTCTACTATAGAGCTTGGCACATAGGTGCTTCATAAGTGTTTTGAAATGAATGAATAAGGTAGATCAAAGTATTTAACTCTCATCCTAGCCTTTGTTTCTGTTTTTCAGGTCCTGGAAAGTTACCAGAAAGGATGAGTTTCGAGGCAGTTGCATGTAAATGTGGCTTAGCCAATGGGAAAGGAAGGGATATGTGTCCTGGTACAGGTATTTGAGAAATGTACAGTCCATCTGTTAAGGTGTGCTCAACCCCCAACCATTGTCCACACTTCAGTGACTTAATCAGTAGAGACCCCAAATTCATGTCCAGTGACTTTGACATCTTCGAGCTGAAGGACTGATCTCTCATTTTTTCAATAACACTTTATGACTTAATCAAGATTCTGAGAGTTTGTTTTTTAATACCCAAAGGGTCCGTGACTTCAAAAGATGTGAAAACTCTTCCTCATCTGTTGATAGCACATTTTTCTCCATCCAAGGGAGGAAAAATAAGCCCAGTCAGGTAAGCACCCGGAATAACAGATGTGTTTTTCCAAGATTATGCCCAAGGGACAGAAAATAAAGATTCCGCTGGATACAGACGTCCTAAAAGCAGCAAGTTTATCCTGTAACCTTGCCAAGGCAATGTCTGCCATTCTCAATGCTAAGCCAGAGTAAGAGAGAAAAGAATATTCAAGGAGTAAATCAACTTGAAGCTCCAAGTCAAACAAGAAGTTAGTCATTAAATTTGGGCTGTGCCTCTCATTCCTCACTGTCGTAGAATTTTAGCAGAGCTAGTTTTGTCTTGAAGGCTGAGACACACTGGAAGGAATCAGAAAGGCCTGTGTTGGGATCAACGCTCTGCCATTTATTGCATGAATACAGGTAAGTGACTTAGCCTCTCTGATTTGAGGAATGTTTGGAAGGCAGACATCACCCCAAAATAACTACCCATCCTGCAACTGATGTTTGCTATCATACAATTAACAGTAAGTTTTCCCTGCTATTAAGGATTCCCATTATCTGCAGTCCTGCTTAATTCAGAAGAACTAGGAGACCAAACACTAGCAACATGCCAAGGACATTGAGCTAATGAGTGGCAGAACCTGGACTCAAGCTCATACCTGCTCAGCTCCAAAGCCTATGCTCTTATCACTATCCCTTCTTATCTTCCAATAGGTGACCAAGAAAGCCAGTACCCACAGGCTGGGCTCAAATTAAATCAAGCTTAATACCTAATCCTAATTAAGACAGCAGTATGGAACAGAGAAAATAGCACTGAACCAGGTTTGGACACTTATGAGGTTTGTATGACCCTAAAAAAGTGTTCATTTTACTTTACTGAGCTTCAGTTTTCCTCATAGGAAAACTAGGAATAATGCCCATGTCAGTCAAGGTAGGATAAATTGTGACGCAGCAACAAATAGCACCAGAATGCCAGTGATTTAAAGCAATGAAGATTTTCTTTGTTTTGTTTTTTGCTGGTGCCATGTGTACCTCTCAGTTCATCTGTCATCTGGGGCTTCTTCTCTACACTAGCCTCACTCCAGAACCTATGCTGATGGAGCAGCCATTGATTGGAACACTTCTGCCCACCCTTGTGGAGGAAACAGAGAAACTGAGATGGCCTCATGCCTGCACTTAAATGCTCAGCTTGAAGTTGACAATTATTTCACAACTTCTTAGAAAGAACTGGTTACATAGTATCCCCAACCACTGTGGGCCAGAAATCATGCTCCTACTATTCTCTTAGAAGAATGAAGAGTTGAACCATTTGGTGAATGGCATATTTAATGGCTACCCAGTTGCCCACCTGGGCTACTTCAAAGGGCTGCCAGTAAGATTAAGTAAAAAAACTTGTAGGAAGATGTAGTATAGTAATCTCTACATTTTTGAGCCTTAGAGAGCAGTAAATGAATAATTCCCCATCTCTTTTTTTTCCCCCACTTGAATGTACTTTCTTCTGAGAAATTTGATTGGTGGGGACTTGTAGTGTTTCTGCTGAGGTCAGATGCTTGCATTTCCTAGCTAATACTGTCA
The DNA here is from genome assembly GCF_000001405.40 of Homo sapiens. NCBI lineage: Eukaryota > Metazoa > Chordata > Mammalia > Primates > Hominidae > Homo > Homo sapiens. Next base: position 58,081,919 of record NC_000001.11, read on the forward strand.
CAAGACATTGAAATGGTAAAGCCAACTCTGAGCCCATGAAAAAAGTGTTTAATATGTGAAAAAGATTATAGAATTCTAGGATTTTAGATCTACAAGAGATTTGGCAGTCCTCAGTCCATGTGCTTATTTTTTCAGAGAAAGTAAGAGAAGCCCAGAGAAGGACCATGACTTGCCCACAGCCAGACAGCAAGATAGTGGCAGGGCTGCAACCAGAGTCCAGGCCTCCTGACTCCCAGCAACACGAAACTATAGATTCCTTTATTATGATTTTGCATTCTGATGTGGAACATTTATACCAAACCCAGAGTGGCTAATCTGCTTTTCCTTTAAGTTCTTTGAGTCAGTGATCTCGTTGGACACATAAAACATTCCTCAGTAATCAAGCAAGGAAAAACAAAAGATCATCTATACCTAGTCTTTAGTCTGCAAAGGCCTAATTCAATAAGCATTAAATGACTTATTACAGAGCATTGGAGAAAGATTCTAGGAAAGCCAAAACTTAAATAAAAAAAAAAAGACAAAAATAAACAAAATTTTTGTCCTCAAAGACTTTCCTGTCTCGTGAAAGAGATGACATAAGTAGAAATTGTAGCATAAAGGTAGCTAAGTGAGAAGGACTCCAAGGGTGCAATGAGAGCCAATATGAAGATAGGGGTGGAAGAAAAGGTGGTGGAGAGCAGCATCACAGGAAACTTTCTGGAGGAAGTTTCCCCTGACATGACCCTTGGAGGACGATAGGGTGGAGTGGGGAGATCGTCAAAGGAAAAAGAGGAGAAGGGCATTTCAGGCAGGAGAAGGTAAATGACTGGAGACAGAAAACAGCGCATCTCATGCAGAGGGTTGCTGTAGCCGGCATCTGTGCAGAGGGGACAGGACACAGCAGACAGGTGGGGGGGAGGGGTGGCCACCAGGAGTTTGGACATCCATCGTCTGAAAGCTGGGATTAGTGGGATTATTGCTATTGTTGTGGCAAGTCTGTAGACTGTGGGGAGACTGACTTTCAAGGGGTTTGAAATTTACTCTTCTCTGGCAAAATCCAGTCAAGTGGCTTGGAGGAGAAAATGAATCCACTTCAAGAAAGCTCTAACTTGTGATTTTTGATAAGCGGTATTCTTGAATGTCAATAAAACAGCATAAAACCCTGCCTTTTTCTCCTCAGCTCTGAGTGAAGGCGCAAACATTTCTTTACATCTTTTCCCTTCCAGCCTGGGTGTGAGAGGTATTTATGGTGAAGAAATAAAGGCACGTCAGCTGATCCTTTCTAATTTTTTCATTCCTTCCACCCTCCCCACAACCCCAATTATGGAAAAAGCAAGCTCACCCTAAGGGACAAACAACAGATTTCATTTGTTCAATATGAGACCCTGAGGACAGAAGTAAAATATTTTTCCTTGGGAGTCCCCCGTTACCATGTGCTCCTGCATACCACAGCATTTCAGTCTTTCTACTCACTCTTCTTCTCCAAGGCACTCTAGTATTATGAAGGCCAGAGCTGGTTTCATCATCTATGCCGCACAATGCCCAGTGTGCGGGGCAGCTTAGTAAGTGCTGAATAATGGAATGGACAAAGGACGAATGAATGAATGAATGCTGCAAACTCAGGACAGAGTCTGTTTAACTATATATGAATTTAGTTATGTGAATGTTCTTACAGCGAAATCAACCTATGATAACATTTAATTGCGCACTTAACAAATCATACATTCAACAATATGGGATTGCTTATTCTGTGCTAGGCACTGCTCTAGACATTGGTGAATAAAATAGACAAAGTCCCTGCTTATGACACTTATGCTCTAGAGAGGAAGCCAAACAATAAGCAAACAGACACACAAATACAAAATACAATGATAGGTAGGAAAATTACGCTGATGAAAAAATTAAGCAACATCAAGGGATTAGAGAGTAGTCAATGGTGTCCGGAGAAACTCTGTTTGAGGAGGTGACATTTGAGCAGAGACCCGCATGAAGTCAGGAAGCAAGCCATGAAAAAATGTTTAAGTAGAACGTTCTAGGGAGAGCGAACAGCAAGTGAAAGCCATGGAGGAGGTTACCTGCTTGCTGTGTTGTTATAACAGCAAAATGTTCACTGTGCCAGAGAAGGGAAGCAGGGAAGAAAATGATGTCAGAGATATCCAGGGACCAGGAGTGGCACCTCCAAACTGTCTCTTTAAATAATGTATATATGTAAAGACTTAAATAGTTTTTTAAAATCTTGAGCTTTTTAAACCTTGATTTCCTCATCATTAAAATGAGAATAATTGCTTGCCCCTCATAGCATTGCTGTGAGGATCAAATGAGATGTTTCTGAAACAAGGAAAACATCAGTAAATGGCAGTCTTATTATTGTTGTTATTGTCTGTTTGCTTTAGCATTCGGGTTGAGGGGCTTAAATGATGTTCAGGGCTTTTTTCCTCTGCCTTTCTCTTCTGCTGGGCCTGTGGGTGTTAGGGGGCACCGTCATCTCCTTTCTGTGGCTCTGTCTTCCTTTTTGCTACAGGGAGGAAAGGGGATTGCCCTAGGACTGTTCAGAAACAATCCTATTTTCAAAGGTCTGATGAGTCATGTCCATGTATAAAGAAATGCTGCACATTAGTCTGCAGCAAGAGCTGTGTAGTCCCAATCTCTAAGCAGAAGCTGGGAACTGGAACCATTCTCTCAGAGTATGTGCGGTGGTAAGGGACAGTGGAAAAGCCCAGGCTTGGGTTGCCAGAGACCTGGGACAAAGACTGAGGTTCACCAGTGACTGGCCAGCAGGTCCCTGGGCACATCTCTCTGGTCTCTCTGTGCCTCAGTTCCTCCCTGTGTAAGATGGAGAAATGCCTACTTCAGAGGGGGAAAATTTTATATATTACATATTATATATATATAATTATATATATACACACATATGTGTATATATATATGTGCACATACATATATACAAATTGGATAAACATGTGCTTGTCACAAGAAATGTGGAAGAAGTGATAATGGCTACTTCTGGAGAAACATGTTTGGAAAACCACATACATTTAAAGGCCAGCATCACACAAGTGGGTTAACAGCATAGGTGCATTTTGTTACATGACTGTGAAATTGTCTTTGAAAGCAGATGGGTAGAATACCTTTGGGATTTTATGTTAGGCATTTAATGAGGGCCAGTGAAATGAAAGAATGGTTATTTTATCAGGAGGAAAAAATGAATCCTTTTTTATAGGTGATGTTGGCTTGTGACATTGTCTCTTACTCAGGAGTGGTGGGACCTAGTGCAGACAAGACAGATGGAGGAATTGGATCTATACCCAATGCCCTTGTGGGATCTTGTCCTAGGATCCTTTAGTTTAGAAGCTCTTTATAAAGCAAGGCAAATACTGTGAAGCTGCTGTCCTTAGTATAGGTGAGCAAACCAGCGGCTCCATATAATCTTGATATTTTTATTTCTCTTAATTCAAAACATTATGTATAACTTTATTTATTTATTTTTTGAGATGAGGTCTTCCTCTGTCACTCAGGCTGGAGTGCAGTGGCATGATCATAGCTCATTGCAGCCTCAACCTCCTGGGCTCAAACAATCCTCCTGACAGCCTCCTGAGTAGCTGGGACTATAGGCATGTACTATCATGCCTGGCTAATTTCAAAAACTTTTGCATAGAGACATAGCCTCACTATGTTGCCCAGGCTGGTCTTGAACTCCTGGACTCAAGCAATCCCCCCATCTCAGCCTCCCAAAGTGTTAGGGTTACAGGTGTGAGCCACTGTTCCCAACTACCTTATTTTTTAAATACAATCAGTCTCTTTTAAAAAAAAAAGTATTAAAATCTCTCAATGAAATGAAATAATTTCCCCCTACACGCTCCAACCCTCACCCACTTTTCCTATTGGGGTGCTGTTACACATTTCCAATAAAGCATTTCAAGGTAATGTATTTAATTACACAGTTTCCAAGTATGCCCTGCCTGGGGTAGAATCATCACTCTCATTATGTTCCACTTCAAACAGGGGGTCTGGGAAAGGAATTCATTAGCAAAACTGGGATGCTGTGGGCTGATCTCTCTCTCTTTTTTTTTTTTTTTTTTTTTTTGAGACGGAGTCTCGCTCTGTCGCCCAGGCTGGAGTGCAGTGGCGGGATCTCGGCTCACTGCAAGCTCCGCCTCCCAGGTTCACGCCATTCTCCTGCCTCAGCCTCCCAAGTAGCTGGGACTACAGGCGCCCGCCACTACGCCCGGCTAATTTTTTGTATTTTTAGTAGAGACGGGGTTTCACCGTTTTAGCCGGGATGGTCTCGATCTCCTGACCTCGTGATCCGCCCGCCTCGGCCTCCCAAAGTGCTGGGATTACAGGCGTGAGCCACCGCGCCCGGCCTGATCTCTCTTGATAACACCACCACCCAGTATCAAATTCCCAGCTCAACACCTAACACATTTAAAGGCAGTTTGTCATGACATACACACATTGTTGTTTAAAGAGTATTTCTTGATTTGAAGTCTCCTACCTGTAGACATAGCTGGAATGATTTAAAGCACCCTACTGAGATTTTCCAAGCTCATACCCTGCCTCCTATCTGTCACTGAGTGTGCTGTCCCAGTATTAGTGTAAGGCGCTGGGGAGAAGGACATCATGCAGTCATTTGATTTGATGTTTGGAAGTCTTTGATGGTACCTCATTAACCACAGTACAAAGTTTTGAGCTTTTAAGATTCTAACCCACCTCTCCAGTCCTCCCTCTGGCCATCATGCCCCATCTCTACCCTACTGCCTCAGCCATCCTATACTACCATGTTCTCACATACCAGGGAATGGCCCACCACTCCTGAACATGGCAGGCATGAATTCTCATGCCTCTGTACTTCTGCTTCTGCTGTTCCTTCTGCTTGGAATTTCTTCCCTTTGTTCTCTGGTCAGCAAACCCCTATTCACTCTTTAAAGCCCAATAAGATGTCTTTTCCTTTCAAAAGTACTTGCTCTTCTTCCCCTTCCTCCTGATGTTCCAACAACACATGGCATTAGCTCTCCCATAGCACTTTCCAGCAGATACTTCCATAATATGCTGTGAGGTCCTTATGGAATAACGGCAAGCTAGAGTGCAAAGAGCATGAGCTGTGGAATCTGACAATTATTGGTTCAAATTCTGGCTCACTCACCTCCTAGCCATGTGGCATTAGGCAAAATGTGTAATTTTCCTAAGTCTACATTTCCTCTAATATATAATGGAAACAATTGCCTGGAGACAATAATAACCCCTGTATAGCATGTCTGGAGTGAGAACTAAAAGTTATAGCATATGTAAGGTACTTAGTAGAGAGCAGGTATCAGTACATAGCAGCTATTATTGCATCCCCAGCTCTGTAATGAGGACTCAATAACTATGCTCTGAGGTTTATTCTTCTCTAGGTGCACCCTCTGAAAGGCAATTAACTTTCAAAGGAGGAGCACTTTAAGAAGGAAAACTTACCATGAATCCATCAGAAGCTAAAAATAAAGGATTATTGTCATTTCATTAATGCCTCCATATTAATTCTCATTATACTCCTATTAGGTCAGTCAGCCAAACGTGGCCCTTTTAAATAAGGCTCCAAAGGTGGGAAGACCTAGGATTGGAGGAGCTTGATCTGATATAGGGACTCACTGAGTGCCATTCACATCTGCTGAATCAATCAGCTGTGAATTATGCATGACCCCAAACCCCCATCCCATAGAAAACTGGAACTGAGTGGGAGGAGCTTGAGGACCAGTGGATCTGAGAGTAGTATTTCTATCCATGGCAGAATAGGAAGTTTGCTCTCTTAGGAAGCAGAACAGCATTTACCTGAAAATAAAAAGTTAGATGGGAAAAGAAAAGAAAGATCAAGCAAGGAAGAAAGAGGAATTTGTGCAAAATTGTCAAGGCCTACGTAACGACATCTATGGACATTTAAGGTCTACTCAAGCTCTTTGATGTTTGGTTTATTCATTCCTTTCTACATTCATCATTCATTCAAGTCTTTATTGAACATATTCCAGATGAGGGGATAGAACATAAATATGAATTAAGTATAGTTCCTGACTTCCTGGTGTTCCCACTCTGCTGGGGAAGGCAACATACGGCTATTTTTACTGTTTGTTTTGTTTCTATCAACCATTTCCTCCATGGTTCTCCCAGCATGTGTAGTAAAGTTCTTTCCATAAATGTCAGCCTGGCACTACTATGCTAAGGACATCCAGAGAGAGGGCTGGGTTCTGCCCACACTTAAACCAGAGTTTAAAATAGGGAACACAACAGAAGTCAAAATTGAGGATTCCAGTTTCTCCCCAAGTGGGGGTTCTTAGTTTAGAGCTCTTCTCTCACCTCCGAAGGTTAGGGTATTGCTTGAACAACAGCTTTGCCTTAAGACTTTTATAGAGTATATTTTGAAAGACACTGAAAAATGAGACACGGGTTAGCGACATTTTGCTGAAACGAATCCAAGTGGTAGAGGAAGATCCACATTTACTTGGCATCTGCTGTGTGCTAGGTATTGTGGCCATTTGCCCATCTATTTAAAAAATTATCTTCTAATGAACTCTAATATATGAAATCTTTTGGGAGCACTATTCATATCTTCTTTAATTTTGGGGAAATAGCCACCAGGAAGAAATGTTTAGCACACGCTTGACCCCATCTTGGTTTGGAAAACAGGAAAGCCAGAGACCCATTCAGAAAAAATAAGTATGATTCTAGAATTACACTCTACTAGGTATGAAGGGAAATCATGTTAACTAACTTTCTCAGTGGGAAGGCAGTAGGATGTTTACCTTTCTGTGTATTCACTCTATTCAATCAACAAATGTTTCCTGCATACCATCCAAGCACAGTGCCAGGCATTAGGAAAGGGTGTCAAATAAGACACAATCTCATCCTCAAGGAGCTTGGAGCCTGGTGGAGGTGACAGTCAGACATCAAGGCTACAACACCATGTGATAACACCATGAGAAAAGTCAGGGAAAGAAGCCGCAGCAGCACATGGGAGGGGCTGCTGATGAGATCAGGAAGGACTTCCCTGTGAAGGAACGCGGGGCAAGAAAGGAAAGGCAGCACAGTGGAGAAGACGTTTGGACAGAGAGAAGAGGCATTGTGATACCTTAGCATTCTAGTGTTTTATAAGCCACAACGCAGCAAAATAGGGCATGGGCCCTCTGCTTCACTACTTAGCACCAATGTCGTTTTTGACTTGAACATAACTCATGGATTTGTGAAAATCCATGCCATTTTTTTCCCACCATATCTAAGGAAAAACACTGTCTCGAAGTTTAACAGAGAAACTGGGGTTCCAGTCTTGGCTTTGCCTCTCTCTTACTGTAATTTTTGGGGGAAGACGTTAATTTCTCTGAGTCTTAGCATCTTCTGCTACATAGAGCTATCACAGCTGCCTTGCGGCATTGTTGCAAGGGTTAAATGAGATAATGTGCATGCAGCGCCTAGAACTGTATCTGCTATGCGCTTACGAGTACATGGCATTTTCTGCCACTGTTGTTATTATTACTACTACTATTATAGTCTTGAACAAAGATTAAGGTTTTATGTTAATGTCTTTGAATGCAACTGTGTCTGGAAGGAGAGATATATTAGAAGAAGGATGGACCCTCAATAAAAAGGTTTTCAATATTCTCTATTAGAAATCATGAGCAATCTGACCTTGTAAAAAATAAAATGGTCTGAATTCTTTACATCCTGGCTTGGTTTCTAAAGGCAGCTAAAGTGAAATTAGAGACAAAGAGAAACATTGCAGGGAAAGGCAGCAGCCTTAATTTCCGAGGTGAATGAGATGGATAGCTCCGGTGCCCAGCGGTAAACCTCTTAGTATTTATGAAACTGAAATTACACCGTTCCAATAAAAGGGAAAGTTAAAGAAGGGGCACTCTACATAATGGCCTCTTGTTAGGCCTTTCTGATTACCTGGGCACTGTTTTCGTGAAAACTGCCAGCACCCAGTGTTTCAGGGCCACCATCCGCTGGGGGCAGACAAGAACCGTTTATTTAGCCAAATGAAAATTTGCACTTAAATAAAAAATACTAGTGGCGTTTGGGCTGGAGAAACAATTACCTAGACTCAACATCGCAGCTGCAAATTGCATCGGCAGTAAAAGCAAGTCGGGGGCACAGATTACACTGCTGCTGCCTGACATCAAAGGCAGCCAGCCTTGTTTCTTCATCTGCAGTTTGAACAATATTTCTCTTTGATCTTGTACACCAAGAAGCAATGTGGGAGAGCCAGAGGGGAGGAGAGGAGGTGCTTGTATTGATGTGTAACAACATACAGCCCACTGAGGTTGCGTGGTTGAAATGCCAAGTAGGGTCAGGAAAAAATCCATTTAAACAAACAGCTGAAAACTAGGAAAAGAATTAAGACAGCACGGTTTCATTTAATCACTCTATCAACAAGTCTTGGGGGAGGCAGTGGCACGCCCTTGCTGTGCTAGTCATTGGAGGGAAAAGGGAGGAGTGTGGGTGAGAAGGTCTGAGTGTGTTAGAGTCAGACTCTTGGTCGCAAGAACACTTTTGGTACTACTATGTAAACTTTTTGCATCTTATTTTTCTCCTCCGGGCCTATCATGCCAATTCCCTTTTGTTTACCAATTGGCTACCATCTGCTGGGGTTTACATTTAGTCGTTGAGATTTGGATTCTAACTTTTCCCTATCTCCCTTTCTCTTGCCCTTAATCACAACTCTGTGACTTTCTTGGGGTGGGCATCCAGTCCTACCTTCATCCCTTAGGCCTTATTTCCTAAATCTGAACCCTCATGCTATACTTCCATTAGGCCACCCACTACTCATTTAGGGAGGGACAATTCAGACAAGTGCAAGGTCCTTGGCTGGGCACACCAACAAATCAGACACAGCCCAGTACAGAGTCACACAGGCAGGCAGACTAACAAGGAGGCAATTTCTCTGTCAGAGCAAGCACAGAGAAAGGATAATTTGGTACATGTCAAGGAAGCTTTCCTGGCAGAGGTGACACTTGAGCTATATTCTGAAGGGTGAGTACGAGTTCTCTAGGAAAGAGACTTATATAGTTTAGCTGAATAAGTCGGTTCAGTGCTACACACATTTATTAACCCCCTGCTTCTCCCAAAAGTGCTCCTCCTCCACATCTCACACTCTGTTACACCCTCTCCACAGCCATGGTCCTCAGTACTTCCTGTTTGCATTAGCAATTTCCAACCTGTTTCCAACAGAGACCTACAGACTCCTTAGCCCCCTCCGGCTCCCCTGCAGGAGTTTCTAAATTCGGAGTGGGAGAGGAGGTTGTTCTGAGCCCCTCTTTCCTTCCTCTTCCAATAAAGCACTCTGTTTCGTTAGTTTTATTTATTACCCTTTTGGATACACTTTCTTTACAACAAAAGATTCAGAGCCTATAAAATGTTTGTTAATTACAGCTTTAGATCTTAGCAGGACTTACTTAGCAGAGCCTTTGCTCCTCTGTCTAACCATGGCACAGCCCTCCCAGCTGAAACCTAGTGTAGCTCTTAGCACATCACCACCCAGAGCTCCCCACATGTGTCCCATTAAATAATTAATAATAACATGTTTAATTTATTCACTGATTGCATTTTGTCTTTACAATGATAACCCTGTGAACTAGGCAGTATTAGCGTCATTTTGTTGATTAAGAAACTGAAGCTTAGAAAAGTTAAGCAACATCCACAAGATCACAGAGATGGCAAATCACAGACATGAGATCCATCAATGTGATATCATTACCAGGCATTACAGGCCAACTCTCCCTTCCAGACTCAGCTCCCCATAATCCTTCACTCACATCCTGCACATCAACTGCATTTTAGCTACTTCCAAATATGTCTTCTTATTCACACCATTCTGCTAAAACCAGTATCTCTGTCTGGGATTTTCACCTTAGTAACTAGCACAATTTTCTACCTATTGACCTGAGCTCAAAACTAATTACTCCTCTTACAGTCATCCCTCTCCTCAACAACCACAAGCAGACAAGCCACCAAGTCCTATGAACTCCTGATTTTTTTTTTCTTTATCAGTTAGGATGCTTTGAGCTGCATTAAACACACACACACACACACACACACACACACACAAACTAACATAGCTTAAGTAGCTTTAAGTGGTTTATTGTCTCACATCTCAAGTTTCCAAGATTGGGTAATTAAAAATTCAATGCCATCACCGGGAGCGATGGCTCACACCTGTAATGCCAGCACTTTGGGTGGCGCAGGCGGGTGGATCACGAGGTCAGGAGTTCAAGACCAGCTTGGCCAAGATGGTGAAACCCTGTCTCTACTAAAAATACAAAAAAATAGGTGGGTGTGGTGGTGGGCACCTGTAATCCCAGCTACTTGGAAGGCTGAGGCAGAGAATTGCTTGAACCCAGCAGGGGCATTGCAGCGAGTCAAGATCGCACCACTGTACTCCAGCCTGGGTGACAGAGCAAGACTCCGTCTCAAAAAAAAAAAAAAAAATTTAATGCCACTTTCAAGGTAAGTTCTTTCCATGCCCAGGGGCTTTGCTTCTCCTCTTCAGCTGATCCCCTCATAGATCAGAGATGACCATCACATTCCTGGGCTGGTTTCTTCCCTCAAGCACAACTGGAGGCTAAAAAGGTGAGTTTCTCCTTGCCCATCTCTTTTTAAGAATTAGAAAACACCTTCCCTAAAGTTCAACCCCCACTCCCCAGCAGACTTCCAGGTCCTTTCATGGGCCAGGATTGTATCACATGCCTTTCTTAATCAAAACACTGGCAAAGGAAAGAGAGTGGCCGTAACTAAAATAAACAAATCACTCCATGATCTGGGGAGGGCTCCTTGCTTGAATATACGTCTAAGTAGAGAGTAGGTGCTCAAATAAAATCAGGTCTCTGTCAGCAAAAAGAGGTGGGGAGGGTGATGGTTTGGATAGTGGCCAACAGTGTCTGCTACCATCTCTCATAGCCATCCACCGTGCCATTCCTCAGACAAGTCAACTGCTACCCTCACCTAGATGAAGTTTCTAACTGCACTCTACTCCCAGTTTGGTTTCTTCTAATCAAACAATCACTCTGCAGCCAGAGTAACGTTTGCATAATACAAATACAATTACATATTGTCTCTATTTAAATATTTTAATGGTTCACTATTGGAATAAAGCCTAAACACTTTTAGAGTGCCACACAAACTTCCCCTAGCCCCGAGCCTTAGCTGCCTCCCATTTTATGCTCTCCCATTTTGCTGGGAGCGCCAGACTACCCTTTTTCGACTGATGAACTATACTCGTCACTCAAAACCCCACTCAGCAATATCTGTTCAATCTCCTGTACAAGTGGAGGCCCAGAGCACTGAATCTGACAGCTGGCCATGGGGGCGTAGTGAATTTGACCAAGAGGCAGCTGAGTATGCAATCGGGAAAGCTGATAGACAGTGTAGGGGCAGAAGGTAATTCAGGAACCTGACACTTTAAAGCGGGGGTCCCTAATTCCAAGGCCATGGATTAGTATTGGTCTGTGCTCTGGTAGGAACTGGGCCACACAACCGGGAGGTAAGCAGAGGACGAGTGAGCCTTACCGCCTGATCTGTGCCTTCTGTTAGATCTGTGGCGTTAGATTCTCATAGGTGCATGAACCCTATTGTGAACTGCGCATGTGAGGGATCTAGTTTGCATGCTCCTTATGAGAATCTAATGTCTGATGGTTTGAGGTGGAACAGTTTCATCCTGAAACCATCCCTGCCCACCCTGCCTGGTCCATGGAAAAATTGTCTTCCATTAAACTGGTCCCTGGTGCCAAAAAGGTTGGGGACCACCAGTTTAAAGGGTGCAACCAAGGGTTCAAAAGGGAAAAAAAAAAAAAAGAAAACTGGAGACAAAGTCCAAAGTCTAAGAACAGCAACCTAAGGACACCAATATGGGGCATGGAAACAGTTTTGAAATACTACTTGAGACTGGGAACGGGAGCCTAGGATGGGCTCCTGGCACAGGGAGAAGACTACGGAGCACTGGGGAACCCTCTCCTGGCCTGCTTGCCCCTTGGTTCATTGCTTGCCCTTTGCTTGCTCTGCTCTGTACTACAGAATCCTGATCCCTGCAGGCTATGTGTTCCAGGCTCCTGCATTATTAGCTGGTTTCTAGCTAGTGGGGAAACACCAGTGAAAGATGGTCCTGATTGGTGGAATCTCATTACTCCCCGGTCTCTACCTTGGGCAGCACCACCAGCAGCTCTGTGTCCCATGGCTAGACCCTCTACTGGATAGGCCTACTGGGGTGCAGCTCCCCAAAGTCACTGTGGCTGCTGGGCTCCAGTGACACCACCCCATTGCTCTGTCCCTCCACTTAAGGGTGGCAGCACCTTCCTGCTGTGATTAATCTCTGGGTGCCTCACAATCTCCTGATGGCTTTGTAGCTTTGCAGCTCTGTCATCCCTGTGTAACCAACTCTCCGAATTAAATATCCTTTGTTTTACATTCTTTGAGTGGATTGTTTTCCTGATTGGACCCTGACTGATACAGGTAGGCACTGAGCCAAGTTTGTAAGATTTCTCTGTGAAATTCTTCCTTACTTCCTCATTTGTTTTGCTTTTAGGAAGCAGAACAACATGATGATGAAGAGAAAGTGGCTTGCAGTTGCTAACCAGGATTCAAACTCCAGCTCTGCCATTCATTTACTGACAGCCTTGGTCAAAATCACCCAGCCTCTTTAAGTTCTGGTTTCTTCAAGTGAAGTTAAACGTAGTATCCTCTTCTTAACCACTATTAGGACTGAATAAGGTACTGTATATAAAACATTTAGGCCAGCCTCTGGCTCAAAGTAAATGTTCAAGAAATGGTCCTTTACCCATCTCTCTATCATAACACCTCTTCAGTGTATCTCAGTGAGAGATTTATTTAAGCATCTTTGGCATGTGCTAGAGTAGTGCTTATTAAACTTTAAGGTGCATCTAAAGAACCCTATGGTGGCATTAAAATGCAGACTTGGATTCAGTCAGTCTGGGATGTAGGCCTGAGATGTTGTATTTCTATCACTCCACTCAGCTGATGCTGACACTGTGGTCCAAAGACCACACTTAAAGTTGCAAGTCCTTAAACTAAGGTTGGCAAACTTTTTCTGTAAAGGGACTTAGAGAAGCATTTTAGGTTTTTGGGACCTTACAGTCTCTATTGCAACTGCCCAACTCTGTCAATGACACTTGATTTGGAAAAATAGGCGCTGGGTGGAATTTGGGCCTGGGGCTAGAGTTCGCTGACCCCGGCTCTCGACTGTAAGTTGTCTCAGGACATGGTCTGTTTTATTAACCTCCTTATTCTCATCCCCCAGCACAGAGCCTGGCTCACAGAAGATGCTCAATAAATGTTTGATATATGACTAAACAAACTCTTCGCATGTACTTAGTCTCTATAGTGGAATCGGAAACTCTAATTTTAGTATTTTTTGAGTGTTGACTATGTTCCAGGAAATATTTTATGTACTGGGTGTTATTTTCTTCAATGCTCACAACCACCACAAGGGATCGGTATAAGTACTATCCGCATTCTACAGATAAGGCACACAGAGGTTAGCTGACTACCCATAGGTCACAGAAGAGCCACAGTAGAGGACAGAGCAGGCTTCAGTGTCCTTGTCTCCCACTCAGCAACCTGCTTGCCTTGGAGGCTCCTTCCCATCATTTGTTTCTGTTAATCTCTCAGATTATAATTTCCTGGAGGGCTGGAGTTACATCGGTCTGTTCTTTCCCTATCACTCTCAGACTCCATAACAATAGGTTGAGCACATGGCGAGCACTTACCAAGGAATTCTTCCTGACGGATATTGTTAAGTATCCCACCCCGGACATGCATTGCTGTGGAACTGGGTCACAAGGAAGATGTACTGAATGAAGATCTCTGTGTCCTCAGCTTTTACATAGAAGTTGAGCCTGAAGGTACCAATTATCATATCTAAAAATGCCTAAAAAGGTAATGATTCAGCAGTTAAATTCATGAAGGGAAAGATTCCTGACACCATGTAAGTCCCTGGTGGTCAGAAATTATGTGGCCAGTGGAGGCCTGGGGATTGAATGATGTTTACCATGTATGTGTTGACCAATAAAAGGAGGAGGCAAAGTGAGAAAGTTAGAAGAACATACATGGACTTCCAGGTGGTGGGGGCTCTACCCAGATTCAGCTGTGGGGTGATTGGGTGTATTTGCGACCCTAACCCTTCTCTCGTTAGAAAATAAGGGCTTCGGACAAGAGCATTGCTTAGGTTCTTCTAGTGTCAAAATATTACGACTTTAAAAAGAAATGATATTACTAAAGAGATTTTGAAGAGCTTTGTCCTTAAAGGAAATGACCCCAAACTACTAAGATTTAAAAATAAATGTCACTTTGTGTGGTTGGTGTCTCTGCCTCTGGCAGTATTATCCCTTTTCCATGGCCTCTTTTTGGTTTACTATCATACTATGATAATTTCTAATGTGTTTCAAACCAAGAAACCAGACAATCAGGATTATAATAACTGTAAAGTAGGTATAAATTGATCATAAGTGATGGCCTTACAGACTTCTCTAGCTAATGAGGGTGAGATTCAATGCATATGCTTTGTGATAGCTGTTTCAGCCGTGGTGTGAGATCACTTGTATGTGTGTATGTGTGTGTGCGCTTATTTACACGTCTGTTAATGAGGTCATTAGATATTGGATAAAAGTAGTCATTAAGACAATGATACTTTGTTATTGCCTGTATTTAACGAATGAGGAAACCACAAATTGAGATGGTTCAACACTTGCCCCATAACATATACCCAGAAAAGTCTTCTTTCTAGTTGCAATGTGAAGGCAGATAAGGAAACTAAGAAGAAAGTGTGGTTTCCAAACATTCCCCAAGTTACCAATGCCTTGAGGGCAAAGAGCCAATATATCTCTGCTACTTTCTCTTCAGGGCTGCCATGGACCATACATGGAGGGCTCTGATGCTGGATTCACATGTGTTAACTGCATCCCTCTCCATAGGACCCAGCGATCCCAGCACTGGCTGACTGGCCAGCCTTCTCACTGCAGAGACTGCATTGTGTTTGTACAACTTTCAAGGGCACATTCCCTGGTATAGTAAGTATTGCCATGGAGTCTCCCCTGTCATGTGAATCTGCGGCTGTCAAATCACAGAAAGACCACACTGAAGTGGGCAGGCCTTTTCTGAGCTCTGTCCAGCAATTTACCCTTAACCCTTTTTCATTCCACAGTTATTTGTTGAGGGCCAACTGAGAATTCAGTAGTAATTGACAACATTTATGTGCTTGGCCCTCTCATACATGCTTTACATTTATCAACATATTGAATCTCCACAATGGCCCTAGGAAATAGGTCCTATTTTTACCCCCACTTCACAAATGTGGAAACTGAGGCACAGAGACTGAGTCATATGCCCAAGGTCACACAGCTGGCAAGTGATGGAGCAGAATTCACACCCCGGCCATCTGCTCTTACACACTGTACTGACTGTTACAAGAAAGACACAACCTCTGCCCTCATGGAGCTTCCATCTAATGGGAAATACAAAAGGTAAGCCATTAATTTTAAGATGATGGTTTAATCACAGTTTTAATGATGTGAAAGAGAAGCTCCAGGAAGGTTGAAAACAGGTACTGGGTGACCTGATCCTCATTGGGAACGGGGGATGTTCAGGAAGCCTTTTTTTTTTACCCTGAGGGGGAAGAAGAGTTGGCATGGAACTCCAAAGGATGAGTAGGAGTTCATCAGGTAAATTGAGAGGTGAGTCTCCCAGATAGAAAAAAAGATAATGAGACCTTAAGGCAAAGAAGAGCAGGAAGTGTTCAGGGAACCACAAGAAGCCAGTATGGTAGAGTTCCGAGGTAGGGGGTGTTGGTACCAGATGGAGTTAAAGAAGTGACTAGTGTCTGCACCTCCACTCTCTCAGCTCAACTGCTGTGGTGGGAGGGGGACAGGCTGCCGCTACTGTCTCTGTTTTGCTGATTGGCACACAGGGTGGAAAATAGAAAAACAGCTTGAAAGCCACCAAGCCCAGGGCCTGTTTGTGACCCACCTAGGTCCCTGGCACAAGACCCTAGCTGTCTTTCCTTGCTGCTTCCTCTCAGGATTCCCACGGGCAGTTCCAAAATAGTTACATCAGGGACTCTTTTGTATTTAGGAAAGAAAATGAAACATTTATTGACCATTTACTCCAGTGTTAGTGGACAAAGCAGACAGTAGAGGATGCCACAACAAGCCCTAAGAAAACACGTTTAAGAAAATACATACAGGCCATGTCTTTTGCCTGCAAAACTCACATAAGCATTAAAGTGAAATAATTTCTCTTTGCGTCTTTCACCCCTCCCCCAGCATTCAGGATCTCAGCAGGAAACGGATGGCACACTCAAATTGGGTAACACGAAGGGAGTTTAACAGAAG
The DNA here is from genome assembly GCF_000001405.40 of Homo sapiens. Classification (NCBI taxonomy): domain Eukaryota; kingdom Metazoa; phylum Chordata; class Mammalia; order Primates; family Hominidae; genus Homo; species Homo sapiens. The sequence continues at coordinate 58,098,259 of NC_000001.11, forward strand.
GCCTATTTACAAAGGTGTAGGACAAGCAAAGGGAAAACAGGAATAGTAATACTGGGCTCCATCGCCACCCTACCTCTGAAAGAGCAAGGGGAGACAGTGGTTCTGGACCCTAGAGAAGGGTGGTGGTGGCTTGCATAGACAGGGCTGCCTGACAGGAGCTGTGATGTTTAGTCCTCAGTGACACCATAGGCCAGTAATGAGAGGATCAATACCTCAACTTACTCTCTCCCACCCTCCAACCCTCTGCTGATGCTCCCTGTTGGCCACACTGAACCAGGAGTCATGAACTATTATAGGATAAATTGTGTTCCCAAAATTCATATGTTGAAGTCCTAACCTCCAGTACCCTAGAATGTGTCTGTATACAACAATAGGGTCTGGAAAGAGGTAATTATGTTAAAATGCAGTAATTAGGGTAGGCCCTCATCTGATTTGACTAGCGTCCTTGAAAAAGAGGAAATTCAGACACAAACATGTACAGAAGGAAGGCAACGTGAAGCCCCGGAGAAGGTGGCAATCTATAAGTCAAGGAAGGAGAGGCCTTAGAAGAAGTCAGCTGCACCAACATTTTCATGTCAGACTTCTAGCCCTCAAAACTGTAAGAAAATAAATGTCCATTGTTTGAGCCACCCAGTTGATGGTGTTTTGTTATGGCAGCCAAGCAAAATAATGCAGAAGTCCAGGAAGCCTCCAGTGGCACAGAGCCAGGTGGAGAAGAAGAGACAGAGGCCATGGAGGGGCAAATGGAAGAGATCCAGAACAACTCTACCCAGGCCCCTCAGAAATGGGTGTTTCAAGATGTCCTAGAGCAGTATCAGTAAGACTGGAAATATTTCAGCTGAATGATTCTTGTCCACAGCTGTGATCTCCTTTTCCATCCATGAGCCATGTTCCCACTATAGTTCCCATGCTGGCTCTTTTCCCTGGTCACGAACCCCAGTCTCACCCAGGTTGGGAACCCCAGTTCTCAGACAGAACTTTCTGTGTACTTCTGGCCACATCTCTCTCCCTGAGTGCCCAGAGATGGTTAGGGGCTTATCCTGCATATTTTACTAGACTTCCTGGTTGTAAGATAACAAGCATCTTGACAACAGGGACTGCCTCTCATTTATTTGTGACAGATGAAAGAATGAGTGAGAGAATGAATGAAGAAAAGTAACATTTATTGATGACCGTCTACGTACTGAGTTCACTGCTTTCATGTACTTTAACACTGCCTGAATCAAAATCAAGGAGTCAGGAAAGAATAATTATTGGCCATTTATTCACCATTTGCTATGCGCCAGGCAGGTGTGAGGGCACAATACTTAAACAGCATGGCACAGGCACCAAGAAGAACATATCAGAGCAGACACCAGCCATAGACCCAGGGATGGCTGGGCTGGCACCACAGGCTAAAAGTCAGTCTGGTGCCACGCTCTGTGCTGAAGGATCTCTCATGCATTATTTCACTGACTCCTAATAATGCCAATTGAGGTAGGTATTAATATCCCTCTTATATACAAGTAAACAACTTGCACAGGAAAAAAGTTTATTGTGCAAGGTCACCCAGAAAATAAGTGTGGAACTGAGACTCACGTCCAGGACGGGCTCAGTTTTGAACACCACTCTGGTCTGTCTTATCATGCTGCTCTTGCATGTGATGTCCCTTTCCTTGGGACACTTTTCTTCCAGACAGCCATGTGGCTTGCTTCTTCTGGTCTTTGCTCAAGTGTCATCTGCTCAGCAATTCCTTCCATTTAAACATAACTTGCTTATCACCACCCTGACACTTCTTTCTGTCAAGCTTTATTTTTGCCTGTAGCATTTTTTTTTATCGTGGTAAAAGATACACAACCTAAAATTTACCATTTTAACAAATTTTAAATATAAAATTCAGTGGCATTAAGTGTGTTCACAATGTTGAAAACCTTTCACCACTATTCATATCCAGAACTTTTCCATCATCCCAAACAGGAACTCTGTACTTATTAGAAAATAACTTCCTGTTCCTGCCTCACCAATCCTTGGAAACCACAATTCTATGTTCTGTGTCTATGAATTGGCCTATTTAAAATATCCCACATAAGTGGAATTATATAATCTAACATCTTTATGATTCATGCATATTGTAGCCTGTGTCAGAATTTTATTCCTCTTTAAGGGGTGAATAATATTTCACTGTATATATATACCTGTACTACATTTTGTTTATTCATTCATCTCATTGATGGCTATTTGGGATATTTCAGCTTTTAGACTATTGTGCATAATGCTTCTGTGAACATGTGTGTACGCATATCTCTTTGAGTCCTTGCTTTCAGTTCTTTTGAGTATACACCCAGAAGTCAAATTGCTGGATTATGGTAATTCTATGTTTAACTTTTTGAGGTCCCACCAAACTGTTTTCTACCCCTGTATCACTAATAAGCACATATCATACTACATGTTTTATTCATTTATTTTGATTATTGAATATCACCATTCACTGATCTGTAAGCCCCAGTGGAGACGGATTTTTCTCTGATTCATTGCAGTATCCATACCTAGAACACGTCTGGAACAAAGTAGGTACACAATAAACTTTGTTGAATGAATGAATGTATTTGATGTGGATCTTGTTCTTGAGGTCAAGGGTCCTAGGGTCCAAAAGAGTCGGGTAAGGTCCAAAACATCAACTACACAGAAGAAACTGAAGTCAAGGAGGGAAATGAGAGATCAGAGGAAGGGATACTTTCCTGTTTGCAGCCTAATGCAGACCCAACACAGTAAGGCTGTGAATAGAAAAGCCAGTCACAGCCGGGCGCGGTGGCTCACACCTGTAATCCCAACATTTTAGGAGGCCGAGGCAGGTGGATCACGAGGTCAGGAGATCCAGACCATCCTGGCTAACACGGTGAAACCCTGTCTCTACTAAAAAACACAAAAAATTAGCCGGGCATGGTGGTGGGCACCTGTAGTCCCAGCTACTTGGGAGGCTGAGGCAGGAGAATGGTGTGAACCTAGAAGGCGGAGCTGGCAGTGAGCCGAGGTCATGCCACTGCACTCCAGCCTGGGCGACAGAGCGAGACTCCGTCTCAAAAAATAAAATAAAATAAAATAAAATAAAAATACAAAAAGAAAAGCCTGTCACTGGGGTCAGTTGCTAGGGGGATCAGTAATCGTATGGGACAAGGCACTCAGGAACAAATGAGGTGAACAGTTCAGGCCAGAGAGTGAGAGCAACCTAGGGGTACCTGGGGGGTAAGGGGACATTAAAACGGGGCTACCTGAATAGTGGATGAGGGAGCCTGCTTGATGTAAGAAACCATGGAGGTCCCTAAACAATGCTTTGAACTTATGGCCCAAGAGAGTGCCTGGCACATATTAAGCATTAACAAATATTTTTAATTGATTGATTTCTAATTCCAATCTATCACTAATTTGACATATGACTTAGGGCCAGTCACTTTTCTTCTATGCAACTTTCTTTATCTGTAAATATAGTGGATATAGATAGGTCAATTAACTAAACTTTGGTTTAAACTGTAAAAGCATTTCTCCCTAACAGATCCCAAACAGAAGAGTAAACACAAAGCACATCTGAAAGGGGAGTTGAAGGCCTAAGGTCCCACCAGCAGTCCTCCCTCTCCACACCACAGTGACTGAGAGTTGGTTCCTCCAGGATCCAGGTTTGCAGGTCCTGGGCCATCAGATTCCTGAGGTTCATTCCAGCTGTGACATCTACACACACCTCCCCATCATGCTTGCCACAGGCCCTTCTACACAGCAGTAGCAGGTATTAACTCGGTGCTTACCATTTGACACATGCTCTTCTGAGTGCTTTTCATGTATTAACTTATTCAATGCCCAATTCAGAGATGAGAATATTGGGGCACAGAAAGGTTAAGTCACTTCTCCAAGGCTACACCGATAGTCAGGTTTGGAGCCTGGAATCAAACCTAGTTATTGGGCTCCAAGGCCCTCGCTTTTGACCCACAACTCTGTCCCGCCTCCCTCAATGGGTGCACAGTATGCATTCCTGTCCTGTTGAATAGGACCTAGGAAAAGGTAGTCTGATGGGGAGAGGAAAGGAGGGAAATGAGAAGATAAAGTGGGAGAAAGAGAGTGTGATCAAGCTGTACCCCGGAGAGCACTTAGTTCTCTAGAGGGGAAGCAGCTTCAGAGTGAAACTGGTTGCTGGAATGGAGACACCAAGAACCAACCTGTTGCTTACCCCATGGTCCTGGAACCAACTCTGATGAGGTGGTTTCTCCTGAATCCATATTTTCTAATCCAGAGATGGTCAAATGCTATTTTTATATCAAGATCTTAGATGATAGCATTCCTTAAGAGGACTTTTCCAGAGAAAGTAGAGATGTCATCTTGCCAAAATATTTTTTTCTTACTGGAACAATAAAAACCTGCTTTGTAAATAACAATGGGAATAGGAAGCTGCCCATATTCTCACCCACCTTTTTCTTTTAATGAATTTAATGAATTAGAATATATGCTATGTGATAAAAAATGTACTGAAAAGCTTGGTAAGTATCATTCAAAGCCTCTCGACCAATCATTTTCACATTGTCTGAAGCTAGCATTTCCAATAAAGTGGGACAACATTATGCAGAGTAGAATTTTACAGTAACCTCAGGAAAATGCAAAAATTGGCAGTAGATAAAGGCAAGGGACAGGGCTTACCTTCAGGAACAGAGGGTCTGTCTGTGTTTTTCCAAGAGGCTCTACTGCCATTTGAGGGTGGGTACTTCACTGGATAGAACTGTTTGGATCTTATGGGGTGTCCACCATTCTGGACCCCTGCCTACTATATGCCAGCTCACAGTTCAGGAGGGGAGAGGAGAGACAGGGATGCATGTACCAAGCTATCATCCAAGACTTCCTGCGGCACCCGATACGTGGTAATGCACCTCTATTAAAGTTTATGTACTTTAATACAAAATGAAATGTTTACAAAGCATAAAATAAAATACCATCAAAGGCTACAGCCCATCTTGCATCAAAAGTAACTTACTATAAAAAAACTGAAAACACAATTTGCAAGTATCAGAACCAGAGAGGATCCCAGTGATTATCTAGTACACAGGGTGGAAAACTTTCTCCGTAAAGGGCCTGGGTGTAAACAGTCTAGGTTTTGTGGGCCATATACTCTGTTGCAACTACTCAACCTTTGTCTTCGTAGCACGAAGGCTACCCATACCCATATTAATAAAATGAATGGGCATGGTTGTGGTTCAATGAAGTCTACTGAAAACAAAATTTAAATGTTTAAATATTTAAATAAAGACAGGAACCAGTATGACTGACTGATTTTCTTTGCCTCAGGCTCCAGTATGGCTCCATACTGCACTGTTACTGATCTTGTCACCATTTCCATTTTTGATAATGCGTTCATTCTGACACTGCTGACTTTAATTTTGATTTTTTACAATATTGCATTGAGTATTAACTTACCTTGATGACTGGGTGTTAGTATCCCCTTAAGTTTTGCCCTGGAGATTAGTGCCTTACTTGCATTGCTCAAGTTTGGGCCCTGCCTCATGCTCCCAAACTTCCACCCTGTCTCTGTTCTTCCTTGGGCCAGTCTTTTTGTCCATTCCTCCAATGACTCCATTCCTTGTCAAATTGAGTCCTAGTAACTTGCTTGTACATTTTCTTCGTGGAGGTCATGTCTTGACTCCTTCACCCTTTCACTTTTCCTCCCACTCAAGGGCAACAACAAACCCCTCCTCACATCCCAGGTCAGCAGTTCCCACCTTCAGATCCTTTGAAGAATCAGCTTCTGCTCCAAGAAGTCTTTTTCTAGAAGATATTCCCAATAAAGAGGACCTATTTCTAAGAAGGATTCTCCAACAGCTGCTAAGAAACCTGTCCCTGTTTCATCACATACATATAGCAGTGTGCCAGGCACAGAGAGGGAAATGCACCAGAGAAGCCTCCCCACCGGGTGGTGAAGCCCCGAGGGAAAGGACTTCCAAATCCCAACCTCTAGCACACAGTGGACCCTCAATTAGTATTTATCAAACTGAATTGGACAAGTCCTTTCAACTAGATTTTCAGACTTTGGAGGATTAAGGTGGAAATGGGGAGGCTCAGGGAAGACTGATTTCATACTCTTAGGGTGAGAGAAAAGCGGTGCTGTTCTGTGGATTTTATTAGTGGAAATGAAATCACTGGTGAAAACTGCCAGTGTGGGCACTGTGGATACTGCTGGATCCAGAAAATATAGTAATCAACACTTGTACCCTAACTAGCTGGTCTATGGTAGGAATATACATGTGTTTTCCCCAATTTTTTTAAATTTTCCAGTGTGCTTCTGTTCCACAGGAAGTGAGACAGCCGGTTCAGAAACAAATTACCACTCTCAGCTAAACCCCCATTTCCCAAATCCCGAGCCTTCCTTTAACCTATTTATTTAATTTCTCTTAACATATTTAAATCCATTGGAGGGAATTATGAGGGAGACAGATGAGATAGCTCACAAACATTTGTATGCACATTAAAATAAAGAAAATTAAATGAAAAATTAATAGGGCAGACAGGTAACCATGTAATGTGATTTCACTTTGAAGCAATTTATTTTCATTCAAACTGTGATAAATAATCACCAAGTGATATAATAATTACCCATTTCTTGGTGTCGAATGGGATGTGGAAATTATTCTCTGAAGTGAAAACATCCTATGGACTTTCAAAAAGGGAATGTCGCACATTCAATAAAGCTACAAACCATGACCCCAAAAGAAATTGAATTGGCCTGTTTGTATTCCCATCGCTATGTCTGAAAAGTATGTTCTCACCCTCTAAGGCAAACTTCCCTTTCTGTTTGATAAAGTCTTGTGATTTGCGACCACAAAAACTCTGAGGACTCCATAAATTTTGTGCTTTGGCACTCCCATGTGAGATCAAGCCCTGCAAAAGATGGCTGCTGAAGAAGGCAGAGTCTAAAGGTCACAGAACAGTTCCTCGTTTTGGTGGTTAGCAACAGTCATTTCTAAATGCCTTCTGGGCTTAAGAATAATTGAATGCATTTTAAAATTAGGTCTTGTTCAGTTAAAAGCAAGACCCCATCTGTAAACACTCATCGGCACCCATTAGAAGGACCTTCCTTGCTGGAGCTCTTTATTGCCCATAAATACAAGGGCTGCCATTGCTTTAGGGCCCCCATGTGCTGGGTGCCCGCATGCATCATTTCATATCAGAAATACTGCTGACGAGAGACGCCAGCAAACAAAGAGGCTGGTGGGAAAAAGCACTGGATTAAGAATGAGAAGACTTGGGTTCTAGTCTTGAATTGGCCCCCTACTATCGATGCAAACATGAGGAGTTCATCAAAACATCTCTGTACTTCAGGTTCCTCATTTATGAAATGTCGATGATGATACATACCTGCTTCAACCCACTGGGAAACTATAAAATGTTGCACAAATTCACTTCAAATTCCTAAGTGTTTCATCAAATGCTGACTAAGGCTGTGCAAGGCACTTAGGAATAATGAGGAAAGTAAGAAAAAGTCCCCCCACTTCAAGAAACTATCCATGCAGCAGGAAAGAGAAACATGTATAAGCAACTCACTCCAAAAAGGCAATTCTGAGCCTCTCTGCCATTTGCTTAGTTCACGTAACCAGCACTTTTCCTCTCCATTCAGTCATCCTCTTATTTATTCATTCATTTATTCAACAAAACTTCATTTAGCATTTATGATGGGCCTGGCACTGGGAATACAGAAATGGCTCACGTTAAATCCCTCAAGGAGCTTATGTTCTGGCAAAGAACATATCTTTGCAAAGAATTTTCCAACACATTTTAAAATATAGTGTTGTTGTTTTGGTTTTTTGTTTTTTGTTTTCCTTCCTTCCTTCCTTCCTTCCTTCCTTTTCTTTCTTCCTTCTTTTCTTTCTCTTTCTTTCTTTTCTTTCTTTCTTTCTTTCCTTTCTTCCTCTTTCTCTCTCTCTTTCATAGAAACTGAGTCTCGCTCTGTTGCCCAGGCTGGAGTGCAGTGGTAGGATCATGGCTCACTGCAGACTCAAGTTCCTGGATTCGGGTAATCCTCCTGCCTCAGCCTCTGAAGTATCTAGGACTACATGCACACACACCACCACACCCAGCTAATTTTTAAAAAAGTTTTTGGTAGAGACAGGGTCTCATTATGTTGCCCAGGCTGGTCTTGAACTCTTGGGCTCAAGGGATCCTCCTACCTCAGCCTTCCAAAGTGTTGGAAATACAGGCATGAGCCTTTGTGCCTGTCCAGTGGTTTCCTATTTAATCCCAATAAAAGTATTTGGAGTAGATATGATTAGCTCCATTTTTAAAATCAGACACTGAAGACCCAGAAAATGAAGTGACTTGCCAACCCCAGGGAGCTTTCAGCGATAGGGTTGCAACACTGAAATTGTGGCTTTATGACTTGGATCCCGTGCTCCTTCTCATACGTTGTAGATGTCTTCCAGGAGAGAGGCCAGCCTTGAACTAAGCCATCTTACTGAGACCATGACTCCACCTAAGTCTTATGAATTCTTTTCTCTATAGAGCTGAATCTATATTCTGTGCCTTCCATCACTGTTTAGGGCCCAGCTGAAATAAATTGCCTTCCCTCCCTCCCTCCTTCATCCCTCCCTCCCTCCCTCCCTCCTTCCTCCTTCCCTTTCTCCTTCCCTTCCTCTCTCCCTCCTTCCTTCCTCCTCCTTTCCTTCCTTCCTTCCTTGTTTCCTTTATTTTTTCTTTCTTTCCCTCCTTCTAAAGCATTTATTGAGCATCTACATCTACTATGTGCTGGGCATTATGCTGGGCCCTGAAGATTAAAGGGTGTTAATAACATAGTCCCAGCCTCCTGGAGCTTAATAGCTAGTAAAAAAAAACCCAGAAAAATAGCCAGATAATTTCAATATAGTGTGATAAGTGCTAGGACATAGAGATATGGGATGCAGTAAAAGTCTATAAAAAGGGCCGGGTGCAGTGGCTCACGTCTGTTATCCCAGCACTTTGGGAGGCTGAGGTAGGTGGATCACAAGTTCAGGAGTTTGAGATCAGCTTGGCTAACATGATGAAACCCCCCTCTACTAAAAATACAAAAAAAAAAAAAAAAAAGTAGCTGGGCGTGGTGGTGGGCACCTGTAATCCCCGCTACTCGGGAGGCTGAAGCAGGAGAATCGCTTGAATCCAGGAGGCGGAGTTTGCAGTGAGCAGAGATCGTGCCACTGCACTCCAACCTGGGTGACAGCAAGACTCCATCTCCAAAAAAAAAAAAAAAATCTAAAAAAAGTAATCTAACCTAGCAGTCAGGGTGCCAGGGAGGGTTTCACAGAACAGCCAGAAAGAAACCTGAAGAGCCTTTGGCCAGGCCAAAGGGAAGCTAGCATGTTTTTTTTCTGTTTTTGTTTTTGTTTTTGTTTTGTTTTTGAGATGGAGTTTTGCTCTTGTCACCCATGCTGAAGTGCAGTGGTGCAATCTCAGCTCACTGCAACCTCTGCCTCCCGGGTTCAAGTGATTCTCCAGCCTCAGCCTCCAAAGTACCTGGGATTACAGGTGCCTGCCACCACGCCCAGCTGATTTTTATATTTTTAGTACAGCCGGGGTTTCTCCATGTTGGTCAGGCTGATCTTGAACTCCTGACCTCAGATGATCCACCCACCTTGGCCTCTCAAAGTGCTGGGATTACAGGTGTGAGCCACTGCACCCAGCCAAGCTAGCATGTTTTAAACACAGGGAAAAAAATGGGCAAAACCTGGGAGGAAAATGAATGGGGAAATCTGAAGGACCCACAGTTTGTTCAGGGGGACTGGACAATGGACAGCAAGAGAAGTAGAGAGAAAGTTGCTGTGAGAGAGGAACTCATGAGTCTGGCTGCACACAGCACTGGTGAGAAATTGAGACTTCATTCTGAGAGCAAGGGGGAGCCCTGGCGGGATTTTCAGCAGAAGGTAAAACTCTCAGATTTGAGCTTTAGTAAAATAATTCTCACTACTCTTTTGAGAATGAGCCCAAACAGAGGAGACTGAAGCTGTAGGGAGGGCCCTGGTAATGTCACAGGTGTGAGATGAGGGTGAAGTTGAACTAATGTAGTAGAGGTGGGGATAGACAGAATTGAGAGATACCACCCTTAGGGCTGGTTGTTACTTTCAGTGAGTGCTTGGATCCATACTGAATGAGCCTACTGGAAACCATATCATGAACAAAACTAACAATAGTGGATTTACTTACCAAGTGCTTCTGATGAAGCCAGGTACTCGACTAAGAACTTAAATATACTACCATATTTAGAAATGAAAACAACTTGATGATGGTGGCAAAGTTATTTTCTTTATTTCACAAATGCAGATTCCTAAGACCCATTGGAACCTTACTAAACCCACATCTTCAGAGATGGTGCCCGGGAATATGCATTTGAGAACCAGTGCTCTCAATGTGCACTAAGTTTTTATTGCCACTGCTATGAGCTCCAAAGCAAATGACATTTTTATTCTGGGGAATGGCTTCAATTAATTAAAAAAATTTCAATTCCAAAAATAACAATTTCAATTAACCTGTGCTGCCTTATGCTTAATGACATACAGATGCCCCAAATAGTATGGAATACTCCAGTGACAAGTACACGTAAAACACTGAGCTGAGAATGAGACTGACAGCACTCTTAAGTAGAGATACTAGTTTAGAGAGAGGTGTCTTTTGGGGCCTCAAATGGAATAGTCTTGAGATGCAGAGAACAGTCTGGTTGAAAGAAGATGACACACTCAAGATTCAAAGGCAACTCAGGCATTGGAAAGTACCTGAAATACCTTCAAGTCTGAAGATTTTCAAACTGTGTTCCAGACACCACCGAGCTTCCTTAAATGTTATTAAAAAACAAGGTGGAACCTAAACTTTTAGTGTTGGGGCTTTCCTCACCCAAGTAATTCAGCCTTTTAACTGCTTCACATATGGGGTTTGATCTAGAATTCTCTTTGAAGAAAGGGGACAGGAGATTTGGAGAGAAATAAATGAAAGGAATTTATGCAGTCACCAGGTCTAACACATGTTTTGTGAGCATATGCATACCAGGTGGGCTCAGTGTGAGGCATGAAAGAACTAACGTGAATAGGGTCAGGCCTCTGCCTGCATCTGTTAAGAATCTTTGGGTGCAAGCAACAGAAACCAGCACCAACAGACTTAAACAAGTAGCAGGATTTGCTAGATCACTCAGGGTAGCTCTAGAATGGATCAGAGAATTGAATAATCGGACTTCAGGCAAGAAAGAGCCAGGAGGCTCTAGGGATCTTGGTGAGGAGAACTAATGGATCAACTCCGTAAGCCTGTCAGCAGAATGACTTTGCTCTAGCCCAGGTGTCATTCCTCTCAAAAACCAAACACTCTTTGTATTTTTAGTAGCCTAAAAAAAGCTAGAGTCTGATTTGTCCAGCTTGCATCATACTCACGTGGGCCAAGGGCGTAAGGCTATGGATGGGCTGATGGCAAGGAAGGATGAGTTACACTCCCAGCCAAAGCACACGGCAAGAAGTGGGGTACTTCTCCAATGGCAAAGGGGGTATAGTAAACAAAGTGAGGTGGAATGGAAGCTGAATAAGCAAAAAGAGCAGCTGCCTACTAGATCTCCTGCAGAGAAGGGGAGGTTTTGGAGATAAATATTTTTTGATCTGCCCACCACTGCCCCCACTCCATGTCTGAAGCCTTCTCCCTAGTAATCCTTCTCTCCTACACTGTGATATGTGATATGAATAGATGCTCATATGTTCTTACAGGTTTACCCAACCTGGTCATGGTTGATTGGTCCTGGTCCAGGGATGGCCCATTCTGGGCCAATCAGGGACTCTCCCTAGAACTTTAAAACTTACAGTTGTGTCCTTAAGGATTGTTGGTAGCCATTCTTCTCCACATTCAGGAAGCTGACCACAGAATATTAAGACACAGAGTCAGGGAGAATTGTGGCTTTATTTGAGCCCTTAATTCTAATTGTCCCTGAAGCCAAACTACACACAGTGGCCCTTGTCACAATGGCATAAAGCAATCTAATATTTTCAAAAAACAAATAAGCAAAACACAATACTTTTTTTTTACCTTAGTTCAAAGTGGGATTCTGTCATTTTCAACTAAAAGTGTCTTCACCAATAATAAGTGAACAAAAAGCTGAACATCAAGGTCATGTGTAGCAAATGCTATCAGAATGATATGATTGATGTTAAGGAAAAACTAACTGATAATTCTAACAGCTCTTATTTACTGAGCACCTAGCTTGAGTCAACCAGGCTAGGTATCTGACATACATTATTTGATTTACTTTTTGTGTCAGCCCTGCAAGGACATCTTTACCTCCATCTCACAAGAAGAAATTGAGGCCAGAGAAGTTAAAACACTCACACATTATTGTCCAGCTAGGTGATAGCAAAACCTGGATTCAAATCTGATCCTAGAACACACTCTCTTTGTCCTGCAGCCAGAAAGCAGAGAGGCACTCTTTATCCTTTGCAACAATGGGCAGGTCCCCCATGAGCTTATCAAGAACTACAATCAAGTTGCATCTCTGCTAACTTAGAATATAAAATCTTTCTGGTTTGTTTTTGCTGAGTCTAGACTTCATGTTAGTTATCACTTCATTATAGCCCATTATTATTTAGGAAGTTGCTGGGGAGTTAAGTTTGCAAACATATTTCAATAGTACCTCAACTCCTCAGGCCACCAGACTGTTGCATTTCTCACAGTGTGCAGTTTTTACAACTCTCTTTTCTTCATTAGGGTAAGAATTTATAAGCCTGACACCTTGGCCAGGGAATTGTGCATCACTATTTCTGAGTTAGGGCCCTTCTGGGAGGGTGGTGTGTGCAGCAGAATGCTTTCTTTGTGCAGTGGGTGGAGGTGTATGTTATTTGTAGTCAAGACCATATCAATACAAATAGCACAAGTCTCTGCAAATTCAGATGGCACCCTAGCGTAGGAGAAACAGTGTGTCTGAAGTCAAGAGAAGCTAGAATTTCTTCCAGACTCTGCTTCCACATAGCTGTGTAATCTCAGGCAAGTTACTTCTCCTCTCTGGGCCATATCTGGCCACAAATCAAATAAGAATGTTGTTCTAGATCATTCTGTCCCATTGAACCTTCTCCATGAAATGCTAGAGCAGCACAAGATGTTCTGTGAAAAAGGATTTTGGGAATCAAGTAAACTTGAGAAAAGCCACATTAAAGCTAAATTGATTTCATTACTGAGTTTTCTAGAGCCTTGAATATGCTATTTGCTCATGATCCCTCTGCAATACAGAATGCAGTATTGTCCAGATTATTTTTTAATAAAGGGATTTGATATTTTTTCCAAGAGCAACTTTTAGCATTCCACAGCACATGGTGTTTACTTGGAACACATTTTGGGAAACGTTGGATCAGAGAATGAGGAAATGTCTTTCTCTGTTCTTTTTCTTTGTACCACAGTAAGTCCTGTTCTCATATCACTGCGCCTGCTGCTCTTATCTGAGTTCTATCTCTTTTGTTCCATCCTAGATCTATCCACTTGTCTCCACTTCCTCTGTGGCTGCCCTAATACAAGCCACAACTATCAATATCATTCTCTCTCTCTCTCAGCTCTGAACTGCCCTCCATGGTTCCCTTCTTGCTCTTACTATAATCCTTTCTCCACAAAGTAGCCAGAAGTTTAGTTTTTAGGAAGTTGTACCAGTTCCTTGATGGCTTAAGATGCTACAGTAATGATCTACTGCACTTAGATTAAATCCAAAAGCCTTATAATGGCCTCCAAGGCCTTACACAAACCTCGACCTACACCATCCGTCTAACTCTGTCATGTCACTTGCACCCTTTCTCCCTATCCCCCAGTGGCAATGCCTTGGCACCTACTATTTCCTCTGTCCAGCATTCTCCACCCTCAGGCCCTCATGTCACTGTCACCCTGCAGGTTTCAGCTCAGGCATCATCTCCTTAAGAAGCCTGTCCCTGACCACTCCAACTGGAGGAGCCCCTCCAATCCCCACTCACCCTTTTACTCATTCCAGTTGGAAAGTATTTCCTCACATATATGTTAACTTATTTATTGCCTCCCTCCTGTTCTGAAGAATGAAAGTTCCTTAAGAGCAATGACCTTGTTTGCCTTGTTCAGGGCCATATGCAAAGAATCTATAACAGTGCCAAGTATAAAATAGGCATTCAATAAATACATTTTTGAATTAATAACTGCATGAATAGATGTTTTCCCAATTAAACTATTAGTTCTTTGAAAGCAGAGACTATGTTTTATACTCTTTCAACTCCCAGCTGTGTAATCCCAAACCTGAGACTATTTTCTCTCCAGTAAAATGGAGACAATGATAGGCACCTCAAAGATGCATATCAAAGATTAAATGAAACTTTCAATATGTTTCTAGCAAAAAATGCCTGGCACATAAAGCACATGGATGATAGTTTGATTTCTGTGTCACTCTTCATGGAAACCATAGGTCCTAATTCAGTGCTCAGCACATAGTAGGCACTCAATACATGTTTCCTAAATGAATGATGAATGAAAATGTCATGAACAATTTTCTAAAAATCCTTCAGCCAGGCATATTTTATGAAGCACCACATACATGCTCCTAAAGTACATGATCCTGTCAAGTGGGTGGTGTGATGTAAATATGATGCCCCACGCAGAAAATGGAAGCCTCTGGAAGGCTGTGGGGACACTCTTCCCTGAAGATTTTAAAGATAAAGAAAAGCCACAGCTCTGAGACACAATGCTTCCTGTGAGAAGATGAATGGATAGAATGTTGACTGAATTCTTGTTAAGTGGCACTCACCATGTTGGGCATAGAAGATGAGTAAGACACATATGTTTTCTGTCCTTACAGACCCTGCAGCCCAGTGGGAGAAACAGACAAACATGCAATTATAGAGCAGAAGGGTGAGGGCTGCAAAAGGATCGTGGCACAGAGGAGGGTGCCAGAAACAGGCACAAGAAGTCAGGAAATGCTTCCTGGAAGACATGATGCCCAGACTGAGTGGAGAATGAGGAGGATTTTGCAAGGAGATGAGATGATGGGCAGGATTCTGGCCAGACAGGACCGAGCTGTTGATTGGTTGGAGGGTGCGTGGGAGAGGGACATGTTAAAGATGGTACCAAGGATTCTGGTTTGGGCAACCTGGTGGCTCGTGATGCCCAGGTGAATGGTGTCCTTCCCGAATTCCTCCACTGACTGACACAGGCCTGTATCATTTGCCATTAGCAAACTTCGGATTCCTCCAAGTTCCAGCTTTTCAGCTGCATCTTCCACTCTGCCATCATAAAAGTATCTGTTGTCAAAAGCTGAAGCACAAATGGCAAAAAAAACTTCTGTGTAATGAGAGTGTGTGTATGAGTGTGGGCATGTGTTTGTGTACTGGAATCCCTGGAGGGTTTTTGTAAACGAAGAGCTAACTTCAATGACCCTATTGTGGTAATTAACACACTCCCTAAGCAGACTGTGCTGCTGCAGGAAAGATAAGGGGAGCTCAAATAGGGGCAGATTTGATGCCAGGAAATTTGTGCAGTGTTTGGAAAGTATAGAAGGTCCTTGAAGTACGGGGAGCATCTGCAGAGAGGAAGGCTGTTTTCAGTAGGAGTTTTGTGTACAGCTCTGGAGCTCACAAAGCACTTTCACAATCATGATTTTATTTAATCTCCCAAGCATTATAACTGTTCTTGATGAAAATATTTGAATAATATAGGAAGGTGCCCCCCCAAAGTGAGAGACACAAGATTGCTCTCTTATAAGTTAATTTCTGGCCAGGTACAATGGCTCACACCTGTAATTCCAGCACTTTGGGAGGTCCAGGTGGGCGGATTACTTGAGGTCAGGAGTTCGAGACCAGCCTGGCCAACAGAGTGAAACCCCGTAATTACTAAAATACAAAAAAAAAAAAAAAAAATTACCTGGGCATGGTGGCACATGCCTGTAATCCCAGCTACTCAAGAGGCTGAGGCAGGAGAATCATTTGAACCTGGGAGGTGGTGGAGGTTGCAGTGAGCTGAGATCAAGCCACTGCACTACAGCCTGGGCAACAGAGAGAGACTCCATCTCAAAAAAGAAAAAAAGTTAATTTCCACATCATCATTAATGATAGGTAACCATATGTAGAGCCTCCTGAAGGAGAAAGAAATGGCTTCCTATCCATTCTCATCCATATGCAGGAAGGAGGATTATCTAGTCCCGAACAAAAAAATGTTGGCAATGACCCTTTGGATAACATTGAGAGAGATAGGTAGACATAACCAACCCTGCATTCCAGTCTCATTGCCAGGACATCCCTAACATGGAGATGGATGTACAACAGGGGTCATCAAACTATGGCCCAGAGGCCAAATCTGGCTTCCTGTAAAGTTTTATTGGAATACTGTTATGCCCATTTATTTAAGTAGTGTCTATGGCTGCTTGTACAAAACAATGGCAAAGTAGAGTAACTGCAACAGAGACTATAAAGCCACAAAGTGTAAAACACATACTATTGATCCTTTGCTGACCCTGACGTAGAACATTTTACAGCAGCAGACACTGCAAAGACTCTGCCAACACCTGCCCTTAATCCTCTTCTCCCTCGTCATCCCCTACAATAAGCAAGGCTGATATTCAATCAGTGTGTATTGTTACAACTGTGCCAGTTGCTCATGGTTGGCATCCACTGTGATTGGATTATGTCTGTGCCCCGCCCATCATTTGTTAAAAAAAATTAATGTCACTCCAGTGATAGAAGCTAGAAAGTTAAATTACTCCAAAAGCAATGGCAACAGAAGACAAAATTGACAAATGGGATCTAATTAAACTAAAGAGCTTCTGCACAGCAAAAGAAACTACCATCAGAGTGAACAGGCAACCTACAACATGGGAGAAAATTTTCGCAACCTACTCATCTGACAAAGGGCTAATATCCAGAATCTACAATGAACTCAAACAAATTTACAACAAAAAAACAAACAACCCCATCAAAAAGTGGGCGAAGGACATGAACAGACACTTCTCAAAAGAAGACATTTATGCAGCCAAAAAACACATGAAGAAATGCTCATCATCACTGGCCATCAGAGAAATGCAAATCAAAACCACTATGAGATATCATCTCACACCAGTTAGAATGGCAATCATTAAAAAGTCAGGAAACAACAGGTGCTGGAGAGGATGTGGAGAAATAGGAACACTTTTACACCGTTGGTGGGACTGTAAACTAGTTCAACCATTGTGGAAGTCAGTGTGGCGATTCCTCAGGGATCTAGAACTAGAAATACCATTTGACCCAGCCATCCCATTACTGGGTATATACCCAAATGAGTATAAATCATGCTGCTATAAAGACACATGCACACGTATGTTTATTGCGGCACTATTCACAATAGCAAAGACTTGGAACCAACCCAAATGTCCAACAATGATAGACTGGATTAAGAAAATGTGGCACATATACACCATGGAATACTATGCAGCCATAAAAAATGATGAGTTCATATCCTTTGTAGGGACATGGATGAAACTGGAAACCATCATTCTCAGTAAACTATCGCAAGAACAAAAAACCAAACACCGCATATTCTCACTCATAGGTGGGAATTGAACAATGAGATCACATGGACACAGGAAGGGGAATATCACACTCTGGGGACTGTGGTGGGGTCGGGGGAGGGGGGAGGGATAGCATTGGGAGATATACCTAATGCTAGATGACACATTAGTGGGTGCAGCGCACCAGCATGGCACATGTATACATATGTAACTAACCTGCACAATGTGCACATGTACCCTAAAACTTAGAGTATAAAAAAAAAAAAAATTAATATTAAACAATTCATCTATACAAAAAAAATAAAAATAAAAAAAAATAAATAAATTACTCAGTTTGTCAACCTGCCTTGAAGTTAACTGTGGCCAGGTGACACAGTTTTAAATAATTAAATGGAAGTAGAAGTCTGCTGAAAAAATTCTAAGAAAGCTTTAGCTTTAGCTTTTTCTCCTTCTTCCTTCCTGGAAAGTAATACAATGCCTGGCACTGAGGCAACCACTTTGTGAATAAGAAGTAGAATGATAGAAAGAGGCTATGTTCCTGGAAGCATCTTTGAACAATTAAACCAATGCTAACAACTGCCTATATCTGGACTTCTTCTTAGGTGAGGAAAAGAAAAGCACTATTTGTTTAAGCCACTATAAATTGGGAGTTTATGATTTGTTGCTACACACATTCCTAATTGATACAGTAGCCAAGGGCCTTAAGTATTCCAGGATCTGCTAGCAAATCCATCCATATAGTGAATGGCCTCATCAAGTGCTTCCAATATACATCAGACTCATCTAACTTCCTTGATCTTCTTCAATGTTTGCCATGTATCTTTTAAATAGGATTTGCCTGATGAGTGGACTGTGAGTCAGAGATAGCAATTCTAGTCCTGGTTCCACCACTGACTGGCTCTCTGTCCCTGAGCATTCCTCTTGCTCTCTCTAGATTTTCCATTTCTTCCTCTGTAAAATAAAGAAGCTAGACTTCAATCTCTATTCTTTCTTCCTAGTTTTTCACTCTATAATTCAGTTCTTTAATTCTGAAACATCATGAAAAAAGAATAAGGTAACAGCTGCAAGCAAGCATTAAAACATAAGCTTGCTAGCTGCCAGGGCAAAAAAGAAAATAATGATGACATAACTCATTTTTTGATTAAAAAATACAAGTTACACAAGGGATGGTTCTTATTGGCACAAAATCCTAAATGACTTTATAAAGAACACAAAGGACAACCTAACAGGTATTGTCTTTGCGAGTGGACTTCTAAGCCTTCTTTTCAGAAAGCCCAAAAAGAGCAGTGTCAATGCTGGCATACTCATTTGCTCCTCAAAAATGCTCTGTTCATCTATTGGTGAATATTAATAGCTCATATGTTACAGTATTGTTTCTGCCACTCACACAAAAATGATGAGTATCATTTACTAAGCAATCTCAGCAACTAATGCACACCGGATATTTCTATTTGCCTCTCCCAAAGCTCAGAGGCTTCCCTGCCTACCAAAAGAAACGTGTTGCCTGTACTAGTAAGTTACTTATGCATGCCCAGTACTTTATAATTAACAGTGTCTTACTCTAGTTTGCATTTGTTCTTCAGGACAATATGTGAAAGAGGCAGAATCAGAATAATTATTCCATGTTGCAGATGATAAACAGTCTCAAAAAGCTTAAGTGATATGATATGGTTGCCCATATTAGGTTCAGGACTGACCTAATTCCATCTGACTCCATGCCTGAAGCTCCTGCAGCAAACACTGCCACCTCTTTCCACACCAGGTATTGCTCATGTCCAAATCCTGGCACTTCCATCAGGGACCTCTTTCCCAAATGATCTGACGCTTCATTGCGTGGCTTCAAACCAGCAGCTTTGATTCCACTGTCTTTCTGTTTCTACCGCTGTCACACAGAATCAATGAAGCATCAACATATTATCCCAAATATATAGTCCTGAAGGCAAGTTTGATGCCTTATGGTAGCCTTGTTATGGCTGATTTTTAAAAATTAAGATTAGAAACGGGAAAATGAAACAAGTAAAAGATATGAATTGAGTCAATAAAGGATAGCCATGCTTCACTGTGTGCTTCAACATCTGAGGCTGACCCTAA
Source organism: Homo sapiens (assembly GCF_000001405.40). NCBI lineage: Eukaryota > Metazoa > Chordata > Mammalia > Primates > Hominidae > Homo > Homo sapiens. Next base: position 58,117,823 of record NC_000001.11, read on the forward strand.
AGACCAGATATCATGCTTTGTTTTTTTTTTTATATTTTTTTTAATATTTTTTTTCTGGGCCAGGTGGGGGTACAGACATTGCTCTTTCTTGGGGCGGGGGACAAGATCTCACTCTGTCACCCAGGCTAGAGTGCTGCAGTGGTGCAATCATGGCTCACTATAGCCTCGACTTCCCAGGCTCAAGTGATCTCCTACCTCAGCCTCCTGAGTAGCTGGGATCACAGACATGTGCCACCATGCCTGCTAACTTATTATTTTTTTAATGTTTTGTAGAGACAATGTCTCCTTACATTGCCCAGGCTGGTCTTGAACTCCTGGGCTCAAGCAATCCTCTTGGCTTGGCCTTCCAAAGTGCTAGAATTACAGGAGTGGGCCACCGCACCCGGTCAGGCCTTGTTCTTGTCTTCTAGGTCAGTGTTCTCAGACTCCCTCATTCACTCACTCACTCACTCATTCAGCAACACAGGAGTAGAGATGACCCAGACATTTGTTAGAATAGGCTATAGCGCATTCAGCTTAAGAGCAAAGACTTGGGAGGTGGAGTTAAAACCATCTCTCTATGCTTTGACTTCCTCATCTTTAATAATAATCATACTAGATAATACTTATAGGAGATAACTTCATGATGCCAGGCACTATCCTAAGGCATATATATATATATATATATATATATATATATATACACACACACACACACACATATATATATATAAAATACATATATATACATATATATAAAATACATATATATATATACATATATATATAAAATACTATATATATATACATATATATATATAAAATACATATATATATAAAGATCCTGTAGCAATACATATGAGTGTACATATATATACATATATATATCCTCATAAACTCATTTAATCCTCATAACCACAAATGAAGTAGGAACTATTTTTATCCTCTTTTTACAGACAAGAAAACTGAGGCACCAACAGGTAAAGAAAAATTGACAAAGACCACATACCTCGGAAATAGCAGTGCTGGGCAGTACAGCTCCAGAACCCATGCTCATAACCACTACACAATACAGCCTACACACCAGTGCTGTCCAATCGAACTTTCTGCTCTGATGGAAATGTTCCATCCAGTAAGCTAGCCACTAGGCACATGTGACTAGTTCAATACTAGCCATTAGCCATACATAGCTATCAAGCTCTTGATAGTACCATCAAACAGCTAAATTTCTTATAACCTTTTATACACTTGTGCAGTAGATGTTTGCAAACTGCTCAGCACAATACCTGGCATTTAATAGGCACTCAATCTATGTGAACTACTATTTTAATAGTAGCAAGCATTGAACAAATATTTATCTGCAATCTCTTGTCTGAATTATAAAATCCAAAGAGCTCTGAAAATCAAATATTGTGTGTGTGTGCGTGTGTGTGTGTGTGTGTGTGTGTGTGTGTATGCTTAATTCAATTTGGCAGCAAAATCTAAGCTGGCCTGAACTAATTTGGTGGCACAAACTGACATGAACTGACAGAATGCTACTTATAGTGTTATGCATCCTACATTATTTGTTATATGTTTTACAGCAGAAATATTAATGTATTTAATTGTGGGTGCTGCCCCAAGCCCAGCAGGGGGTATTATGTAATAAGTAATATATGTATCCCTGTCTTTCTCAGAGCTGAATCATTCTAAATTTCGGACACACATCTAGCCCCTAAGGTTTCAAATAGGGAATCATGGACCTGCATTTACATTTTTATAACAGGCTAGCTATGATGGACAGAGCAGAGAAAACAGGGCCTGACCTGGAAACCTGAGTCTCCACTCATTGCTGTTGGAGAGGAAAGCAGGCCTTCTCCAGGCAAGCTGGAGCAGAGAAATAGCCAGAGCTGCCCCAGGTCGGGAGCAGAGAGGCCTGAAAATAGGACAACAGAGCATCCATGACAGCCCTCTTCCTGGGGCAGCCACGTTTCCAGTCATTGCTTTATGAATCTATTCAATAAGTTTATTTAATAGTCCTGCAGAGAAAGGGACATGATGCTCCTATTTATTTAGTAAGTTCATTATCGTAGATGCGCTTGTGGGACTCTAGACTAATGCTACACAGAGCTAGCTGCTCCCCTGTGCAGATCAAGCCTCTGCTGCCTCTCACCTTCCTTCCCACCCTATCCCCACATTCCAAAATTTGGAAAAGTGGATATGCCTTCCAAATAGTTCTCTCCATCCTGATTGCTGGTCCCAGAGCCTGAAATGTCCTTTACTGGCCTCGTCTTTTGTGATCAGGCATTTTGTCCTGCAGAGATATCAACTTGAAAGGTAATGTAGTGAGGTGGAATCTGGACTTCCTGTGTGGTTTGGGGTAAATAACTTAGACTCTCTGAGTCACGATTTCCTCACTCCTAAAGAGTAGCAAGTAATATCCCTTCAAAAGGTTTTGGGAGGAATAAATAATGACCTCAAAGTGCCCTAGAAAAGCATGGGACACTGGAAGCACCCATTGAGGAGTAGTTGACAGATCTAAGCCCCCTCTCAGTGCTCCCTGTTTGTATACAAATGTAGTCATCATCTTTCATTACAACGAAGAAGAGAAAGCATGAGTTTGGAATAAGCCTGGCCTGGATTCTATTCTCAGTTAGGGGACCTTATAAAAAGCTTATTACCCCTATGAACCTCAGTTTCCACACCTGTACATGGGAATAATGCTTACCTCTTATGCCAACACCCTTAAGAAACCAAAGGGATACCAACATACCTAGAGAACCCTGCACAATGTCTGGCCCACGGAAGATGCTTCCTTCCCTTGTCCACCCTTTCCTTCTTCTAACAAGGCAATGGCACTAAAAGACTATGGCATTTTCCTTCCAACTTTAGCTGCCTAATAATTCCTAACTAAGAATGACAGAATTCAATACTGAAATCAATGAAGAAGAACCACGTGTCCCTTTTTAATCAAAATCTAAAATGACGTAGCCCTCACCTGCGGCCACATCAAAACATAAGTGAGACAAGAAGCAATGGAAGAGGGTACTTTTCAGTTACCTTCTTTGGAGAAGCAGGAGCCAGGCGAAGGTGGCCTCTGTCTTTAATGATAGGATATAATTCCAATTTCACAACTTAATTATGACCGGATGAAAAGGACAGCATGAAAAACTAGGTGTAGGGTAGGGAGTTTCATCTCGTTAGGTTCACTGACACCTCATTAGGGACTTTGAAAAACATTCTGCTTCCAGGCAATTTTGCTACTATCTTGATTTTTTTCCACGTTTATCTGGCTCCATTTATTTGACTTGACACAAGTAGGAAAATGGGATCTTTGATTTTTTTTCCCAGCTCATCAACTAGCACTTCTATTTCTCCACTTCATGCCACAAGGTTCTTTTTCAGGTTATGATCATCAAGATACCAGAGGATCAGAGCTGCCAGAGTAACCTTCCAAAACATGAGCTGGATCATGTCACTCCCAATGCCAAATCTTTAATGGCTTCCCACTGTCCATACACAGTAGCAGGGTATGCAAGTACTACCTACTTTTCAGACCTCATTTCCTACCTCCTTCTTCCAAAATGTCTATTCTGATTGTAAAAGGGCTACTTAACATTCTTCCCCCAGGCCCAAGAGAAAATCTTATGATGTTCATGATACTCCCATCTTATTTCTCCATTTCCCCTACCACCTAAGTAAATATCATTTCTCCCTGTAGGTTCAAGTCAAAGATTCAGTTCTCTCTCAAAATTTGTTTCATCTTCCCAATTAGAATACACCCCTCACTCTTTCTTAGTTCTGCCAGCATGAGGATCATCTGCACCAGGACATCCTGTCATGAATGATAGCCAATACTTCATGTCTGCCTGCCCGACCCAACTGTGAGCCCTACCATTGTTAACTTTCTGTTCTCTGTTAGTGAAACACACTACACAGGTGTGTCCCAATCAGTTCCAAGATGTGTCAGAAACATTTGTTACCTCTAAGATACCAAGCATGGAATGTACATGCATACATATATATATATTTCAAAATAAGTAAACGATTTGGAATTTTCCTCTAATAATACTCTTCTCACTCCTTTCCTTGCCTTCTTAAGTAGAAGCGAAAAGAGTTAAGTTGAAGTTAGAACATGCAGAACTATGCATATCCCTGAGTTCTCCCATGGCTCTGTGCCTTGTGTATATTGTGAGAAAAACTAAAAGGTTGAGAAGTTCCTCTCTGTAGCACCAAGTCAAGTCATGTAACAATATGATAAATACACGGAAGACAAATGGGACTGTTCTTGATCATGCTCTGAGGCCTGGGATCCTTTCACTTGACTTTGATGTACAGAACTGTTTATTGTACCATACCATGGACAAAAGAGGAAAAGTCTGGCAACATCTGGAACCAAAGAGAATATCTTAGTATCTTAAGCACTATGCACAGTTTATTTGGAAATAGTGCCACCATTGCATTAACTTTGCATGTTAGACTGACTGTGGACCCTAATTAATTGTTGCAACATGGCAAAGGGATTTGGAGTTAATAGATGTGGGCCTAATTTCCTGCTAATTTGCTGTCTCAAAATAGTAGGATGACTTTGGGCAAGTCCCTTCTTTGAGCCTCCATTTCCTGAACTGTAAAGCAATAAACTTTAAAACATAGAGGAACTCCCACCTTGCAGCTTTGTTACATGGATCAAATGAGATGATGTATGTGGAAAAGGGCTTTGTAAATCACAAAGCCTTATAGCAATGGGAGTTAGTAGTTATTGGTATTAGGAGTTAGCCAAGGGTAAAATGCATCCTCACAACTGGGTTATTTGTTGTAAAAAAAAAAAATGCATTTTCACACCACAGTAAAGAGAATAGGTTTTGGAGGCTGACCACCTTGTGTCCAAGAATTGGCCCCATCACTTCCTCACTAGGTGATCTTGAAAAAGTCACATAACCTCTCTGAGCTTCATGTCTTTGTATAGGAAAGGGTGTTGACAGGGCTTTGGTGATTATTATTAAAAATTAACACATTTCTGAAGGATAGAGACATATACATGATAAATCACAGCACAACAGTTTAAATATTGTACCAGTTATTGCACTACGGAAGAAATAAGTTTCATCCATGAGCTGGGTTTAGAGAATGAGTACGAGCTTCCTAGGAAGAGAAGGCAAGAGAAGAATATATCAGGAAAAAAAGAACAGTAAGTGGCAGAAGTGAGAAAGTCCTGAAATCTAATTTATCTTCATTCTGCTTCCCTATAAATAAAATAGGAATAGAAATGTCTGCCTTTATTTTTCTGAGATATTCTGAAGGTGAATGAGATCCAGTCTTTGTTACACAATTCACCCCTTCCTAGAGCTGGCCCCTGACTGGTGACTACAAGGGCAAGTAATCGCCATGACAGCATTTAGGCCCATGGGGAGAGAAAAGACTCCATAGGATGGGACTGTTCCTCTCATTCTTTCCACTGTCCCCAGCTGTGTTTCCCAAAGATTAGGATGTGTCAAAACATTGAGAGAGATAGGGTACCGAAGCCATATGGTCTCATTGTCTGTCAGAGTCTTCCTGGGGCACATTTTCCTAAGTCCTTACTCCATCTGAAAGCATCTTTAAATCCAGAGCTGCAGATAGAATGATAAACTATATAGCAGGATTTTCCAATTGGTGATGGGGGCAGGGGTTGGAGGGAGATGAATAATAGCTAAGTAGGTCAAAAGAAAAGTATTTTGGGAGCTCTCTTCTTCTTTTATCAAGATGAAAACAGTTTACCTTGACGAAGCTCCCAAATTTTAGGCAGCCTCGTAATTTACCTTCTATAGAACATATAGTTCCCCTTTGTTCTGTGAAATCACACAGTGCTAAGTAAAAAGGCCTGCTTAGGGCCCTGGTGTGCCCTTACTAGCTGTCCGATCTCCAGGCCTTTAGTATCTCTGATCCCCAAATTTCCCATCTGGTAAATGAAGAAATTTGACTGATCGATTTGTTATGTCTCTTCTGGCTCTGTTCGTAAATAAAGTCTTATTCAATTCATGTCTGAGACTCTGTGCCCAGTACTGAGCAAAGGGAAATAATCATTTATAAGACTCAGGCTTTGCAGTTATATATGTGAGAGGAAGACAGAGGTTTGAAGCCATATACTAATACACACACACACACATACAACTTTGGTGCAAGACAGTCAGTGTCTTAAGAATTATATGAATTGTAGAAATGATATAGACTATTTTAAAAACATGAAGTGTAAACATCTAGGTTTTCATAGTAACTTGTCATCTCAGCATCTCAGTTACTGTGAATGTACATATGTATATAAATGTTTGAGTATGTGTGCGTGCATGTTTATCTGGTATCATCCTGTAGCAGTAGATTTGGGATGCACGTGGAATAAAATAGTTGCTATCAGATTATATATATATTCTTAGATTATATATATATATATACACACACACATATATATATATCCCAACACCTTATTTACCCAGACTCATAAACTCAAACAAAGATGGTCAATTACAGATTTAAGCACCAGCACTCTAAATAGTTATTATTAGAAAATAATGCTCTTTTACAATATGTTATTTTCATCACTGCTTCCTTAAATATGGTGTACAAAGTCAAGTCATCATTTTCAACATTGGCGGCTACCCTGGGCTGTATTCAGTAATGATTTAGGGGCTGTATGTGTCAGGGGAAAGATGAGTTGCCTGTGTTTGCATGACTGTGCTTTGCCAGGACACTGATCTACCTAAATAATATTTTGATATCTGCTTTTTTATTTGCATATTTGTGATGAATTATAGGTAATAAGCTAGATATGAAGGCCATCAGAGAAATGATTAAATACTAGGATACATGATTTCTCTTAGAGTCTCCTCATATTTTATACAAGGAAAGAGTCTAGCATAGCAGTTTAAGAATGTAGATTGCGGAGTCAGTGAGAGCTGTCACCTGTTATCTGTGTGTGCTTAGGCCAGTGTCTTTGCATTTCTGAGCCTTATTTTCCTTATATATAAAACAAGAATTATAACGTCACATTCCTCATAGGAGAGCATTCTGAAGGTTAAGTGAGATCACACACATAAAACAATTAGCAATGTACCCAGTACATGCTAAGTAGTTAGAAAGAGCATGGTAACTGCTATAGTATGAAGCAAACAACATGGCGTTAACAGATCTGGTTCTAGACTCTGCTTGTCATTGTCTATTATGATTATTGTTGCTGTCGTTATTATTATATTTGATCAAGGGGGATTCAAGGTCTGATTTTCTAACTTTTCTGGGATATGTATGTGATAACAACAGATAGAAATTATAAATTAATATAAAATGAAGCATTTTACTAGGGGCTTGCATTGCATGGAATATTAACTCACTGAAGAAGCATTTAAAAGAAAATTCAATGGTCTTGAAACACAGCACAGAGGTTCAGTAAGATTAGGCAGGAGTTCACTGTGTGGGATGTTTCACTAATTTGTTTATTTGTTTGTACAATGTAAAAAACATAAATTTTGGTTCAGTTGCATTTAAAATTCAGCAAATTTTATCTTAGTTTAGTCCAATGTTTAGTTAATATAAGTTCCTTTCATTCATTTAAGAAATCTCTGAGTAGAGTACAATCATAGTGCTAATACTACTACTAATAATAGTCATAATACTTACATATCACTTGATACTTTTTTTTTTTTTTTTCGAGACAGGATCTCCCTGTGTCACCCAGGCTGGAGTGCAGTGTTTGCAATCACAGCTCATTGCAGCCTCAACCTCCCAGTCTCAAGTGATCTTCTCACCTCAGCCTCCCAAGTAGCTGGGACTACAGGAGCATGCCACCATGCTTGGATACTTTTTAAAAAAATGTTTTGCGGAGACAAGGTGCCACTGTATTGCCCAGGCTGGTCTTGAACTCCTAGGCTCAAACAATCCACCTGTCTCAGCCTTCCAATGTGTTGGGATTACAGGCATAAGCCACCATGCCCAGTCTCACCTTAACACTTTTTATGGGACATTTAAATGCATTCTCTTCTGCTGATCACTATGAGGTACAATCAGCTCATTTTATGGATAGGAATACCAGAAAGGTAAAGAAATACAGAGAGGCGTGACTGGTTTATGACAGTATCACTCCACTCATGCTTTGGGGTGGAGGGGGTCAGTAAACAACCTAAAATCTCTATGACAGGCCCCAGGAGGAAGGAGAAGGGGACAGGCTGTTACCACGGAGGAGCCAGGGGAAGGGAGCAGGCAGGGGAGCTCACTAAACACTGGACTCCATTATATAAGACCCCTTCCACCCTCTAACATTCTGTCTCTATGAAAAAGAGCTTTCAAGCATCAAACTTATTTGGTCCTAGAATAAAATCAGTCTGACCTTTTCCCACAGAATGTGCTATCCAAAAAGAAAAGGCCTTAAAGAACCCACTTGGCATGGCTGCCCTGCTGTACCCATTTGCTTAACCAGAGCCAAGATTCCTGTTGGGGTAACAGGAAACGAAGAAGGGAACACACCAGCCCCTCAATACTTCTCGGCCTCCTGAGGAAGCCAATTCCCCCAGGGCTCTCCGCAGCCCGGGGTAGGGGGAAACCCTTTGAGGCTCAGCTTGAACCCATGAGCCTTCCAGAGCACTGAGAAAGAAACACATAGCAGTTCCATGACTCCTCATTCAGAAGGGGCCAATCTTTTTCTTTTTTTCTTTTTTTTTTTTTATTATACTTTAAGTTTTAGGGTACATGTGCACATTGTGCAGGTTAGTTACATATGTATACATGTGCCATGCTGGTGCGCTGCACCCACTAACTCGTCATCTAGCATTAGGTATATCTCCTGATGCTATCCCTCCCCCCCTACCCCCCACCCCACAACAGTCCCCAGAGTGTGATATTCCCCTTCCTGTGTCCATGTGATCTCATTGTTCAATTCCCACCTAGGAGTGAGAATATGCGGTGTTTGGTTTTTTGTTCTTGCGATAGTTTACTGAGAATGATGATTTCCAATTGCATCCATGTCCCTACAAAGGACATGAACCCATCATTTTTTATGGCTGCATAGTATTCCATGGTGTATATGTGCCACATTTTCTTAATCCAGTCTATCACTGTTGGACATTTGGGTTGGTTCCAAGTCTTTGCTATTGTGAATAATGCCGCAATAAACATACGTGTGCATGTGTCTTTATAGCAGCATTATTTATAGTCATTTGGGTATATACCCAGTAATGGGATGGCTGGGTCAAATGGTATTTCTAGTTCTAGATCCCTGAGGAATCGCCACACTGACTTCCACAATGGTTGAACTAGTTTACAGTCCCACCAACAGTGTAAACGTGTTCCTATTTTTCCACATCCTCTCCAGCACCTGTTGTTTCCTGACTTTTTAATGATTGCCATTCTAACTGGTGTGAGATGGTATCTCATTGTGATTTTGATTTGCATTTCTCTGATGGCCAGTGATGATGAGCATTTTTTCATGTGTTTCTTGGCTGCATAAATGTCTTCTTTTGAGAAGTGTCTGTTCATGTTCCTCGCCCACTTTTTGATGGGGTTGTTTGTTTTTTTCCTGCAAATTTGTTTGAGTTCATTGTAGATTCTGGATATTAGCCCTTTGTCAGATGAGTAGGTTGCGAAAATTTTCTCCCATTTTGTAGGTTGCCTGTTCACTCTGATGGTAGTTTCTTTTGCTGTGCAGAAGCTCTTTAGTTTAATTAGATCCCATTTGTCAATTTTGGCTTTTGTTGCCATTGCTTTTGGTGTTTTAGACATGAAGTCCTTGCCCATGCCTATGTCCTGAATGGTAATGCCTAGGTTTTCTTCTAGGGTTTTTATGGTTTTAGGTCTAACATTTAACTCTTTCATCCATCTTGAACTGATTTTTGTATAAGGTGTAAGGAACGGATCCAGTTTCAGCTTTCTACATATGGCTAGCCAGTTTTCCCAGCACCATTTATTAAATAGGGAATCCTTTCCCCATTGCTTGTTTTTCTCAGGTTTGTCAAAGATCACATAGTTGTAGATATGCGGTGTTATTTCTGAGGGCTCTGTTCTGTTCCATTGATCTATATCTCTGTTTTGGTACCAGTACCATGCTGTTTTGGTTACTGTAGCCTTGTAGTATAGTTTGAAGTCAGGTAGTGTGATGCCTCCAGCTTGTTCTTTTGGCTTAGGATTGACTTGGCTATGCGGGCTCTTTTTTGGTTCCATATGAACTTTAAAGTAGTTTTTTCCAATTGTGTGAAGAAAGTCATTGGTAGCTTGATGGGGATGGCATTGAATCTGTAAATTACCTTGGGCAGTATGGCCATTTTCACGATATTGATTCTTCCTACCCATGAGCATGGAATGTTCTTCCATTTGTTTGTATCCTCTTTTATTTCCTGGAGCAGTGGTTTGCAGTTCTCCTTGAAGAGGTCCTTCATATCCCTTGTAAGTTGGATTCCTAGGTATTTTATTCTCTTTGACGCAATTGTGAATGGGAATTCACTCATGATTTGGCTCTCTGTTTGTCTGTTGTTGGTGTATAAGAATGCCTGTGATTTTTGTACATTGATTTTGTATCCTGAGACTTTGCTGAAGTTGCTTATCAGCTTAAGGAGATTTTGGGCTGAGACAATGGGGTTTTCTAGATATACAATCATGTCGTCTGCAAACAGGGACAATTTGACTTCCTCTTTTCCTAATTGAATACCCTTTATTTCCTTCTGCCTAATTGCCCTGGCCAGAACGTCCAACACTATGTTGAATAGGAGTGGTGAGAGAGGGCATCCCTGTCTTGTGCCAGTTTTCAAAGGGAATGCTTCCAGTTTTTGCCCATTCAGTATGATATTGGCTGTGGGTTTGTCATAGATAGCTCTTATTATTTTTAAATACGTCCCATCAATACCTAATTTATTGAGAGTTTTTAGCATGAAGGGTTGTTGAATTTTGTCAAAGGCTTTTTCTGCATCTATTGAGATAATCATGTGGTTTTTGTCTTTGGCTCTGTTTATATGCTGGATTACATTTATTGATTTGCGTATATTGAACCAGCCTTGCATCCCAGGGATGAAGCCCACTTGATCATGGTGGATAAGCTTTTTGATGTGCTGCTGGATTTGTTTTGCTAGTATTTTATTGAGGATTTTTGCATCAATGTTCATCAAGGATATTGGTCTAAAATTCTCTTTTTTGGTTGTGTCTCTGCCCGGCTTTGGTATCAGAATGATGCTGGCCTCATAAAATGAGTTAGGGAGGATTCCCTCTTTTTCTATTGATTGGAATAGTTTCAGAAGGAATGGTACCAGTTCCTCCTTGTACCTCTGGTAGAATTCGGCTGTGAATCCATCTGGTCCTGGACTCTTTTTGGTTGGTAAGCTATTGATTATTGCCACAATTTCAGATCCTGTTATTGGTCTATTCAGGGATTCAACTTCTTCCTGGTTTAGTCTTGGGAGACTGTATGTGTCCAGGAATTTATCCATTTCTTCTAGATTTTCTAGTTTATTTGCGTAGAGGTGTTTGTAGTATTCCCTGATGGCAGTTTGTATTTCTGTGGGATCGGTGGTGATATCCCCTTTATCATTTTTTATTGTGTCTATTTGATTCTTCTCTCTTTTTTTCTTTATTAGTCTTGCTAGCGGTCTATCAATTTTGTTGATCCTTTCAAAAAACCAGCTCCTGGATTCATTAATTTTTTGAAGGGTTTTTTGTGTCTCTATTTCCTTCAGTTCTGCTCTGATTTTAGTTATTTCTTGCCTTCTGCTAGCTTTTGAATGTGTTTGCTCTTGCTTTTCTAGTTCTTTTAATTGTGATGTTACGGTGTCAATTTTGGATCTTTCCTGCTTTCTCTTGTGGGCATTTAGTGCTATAAATTTCCCTCTACACACTGCTTTGAATGAGTCCCAGAGATTCTGGTATGTTGTGTCTTTGTTCTCGTTGGTTTCAAAGAACATCTTTATTTCTGCCTTCATTTCGTTATGTACCCAGTAGTCATTCAGGAGCAGGTTGTTCAGTTTCCATGTAGTTGAGCGGCTTTGAGTGAGATTCTTAATCCTGAGTTCTGTTTGATCGCACTGTGGTCTGAGAGATAGTTTGTTATAATTTCTGTTCTTTTACATTTGCTGAGGAGAGCTTTACTTCCAACTATGTGGTCAATTTTGGAATAGGTGTGGTGTGGTGCTGAAAAAAATGTATATTCTGTTGATTTGGGGTGGAGAGTTCTGTAGATGTCTATTAGGTCCCCTTGGTGCAGAGCTGAGTTCAATTCCTGGGTATCCTTGTTGACTTTCTGTCTCGTTGATCTGTCTAATGTTGACAGTGGGGTGTTAAAGTCTCCCATTATTAATGTGTGGGAGTCTAAGTCTCTTTGTAGGTCACTCAGGACTTGCTTTATGAATCTGGGTGCTCCTGTATTGGGTGCATATATATTTAGGATAGTTAGCTCTTTTTGTTGAATTGATCCCTTTACCATTATGTAATGGCCTTCTTTGTCTCTTTTGATCTTTGTTGGTTTAAAGTCTGTTTTATCAGAGACTAGGATTGCAACCCCTGCCTTTTTTTGTTTTCCATTTGCTTGGTAGATCTTCCTCCATCCTTTTATTTTGAGCCTATGTGTGTCTCTGCACGTGAGATGGGTTTCCTGAATACAGCACACTGATGGGTCTTGACTCTTTATCCAACTTGCCAGTCTGTGCCTTTTAATTGGAGAATTTAGTCCATTTACAATTAAAATTAATATTGTTATATGTGAATTTGATCCTGTCATTATGATGTTAGCTGGTGATTTTGCTCGTTAGTTGATGCAGTTTCTTCCTAGTCTTGATGGTCTTTACATTTTGGCATGATTTTGCAGCGGCTGGTACCGGTTGTTCCTTTCCATATTTAGTCCTTCCTTCAGGAGCTCTTGTAAGGCAGGCCTGGTGGTGACAAAATCTCTCAGCATTTGCTTGTCTGTAAAGTATTTTATTTCTCCTTCACTTATGAAGCTTAGTTTGGCTGGATATGAAATTCTGGGTTGAAAATTCTTTTCTTTAAGAATGTTGAATATTGGCCCCCACTCTCTTCTGGCTTATAGGGTTTCTGCCGAGAGATCCGCCGTTAGTCTGATGGGCTTCCCTTTGAGGGTAACCCGACCTTTCTCTCTGGCTGCCCTTAACATTTTTTCCTTCATTTCCACTTTGGTGAATCTGACAATTATGTGTCTTGGAGTTGCTCTTCTCGAGGAGTATCTTTGTGGCGTTCTCTGTATTTCCTGAATCTGAACGTTGGCCTGCCTTGCTAGATTGGGGAAGTTCTCCTGGATAATATCCTGCAGAGTGTTTTCCAACTTGGTTCCATTCTCCCCATCACTTTCAGGTACACCAATCAGACGTAGATTTGGTCTTTTCACATAGTCCCATATTTCTTGGAGGCTTTGCTCATTTCTTTTTATTCTTTTTTCTCTAGACTTCCCTTCTCGCTTCATTTCATTCATTTCATCTTCCATTGCTGATACCCTTTCTTCCAGTTGATCGCATCGGCTCCTGAGGCTTCTGCATTCTTCACGTAGTTCTCGAGCCTTGGTTTTCAGCTCCATCAGCTCCTTTAAGCACTTCTCTCTATTGGTTATTCTAGTTATACATTCTTCTAAATTTTTTTCAAAGTTTTCAACTTCATTGCCTTTGGTTTGAATGTCCTCCCATAGCTCAGAGTAATTTGATCGTCTGAAGCCTTCTTCTCTCAGCTCGTCAAAGTCATTCTCCATCCAGCTTTGTTCCATTGCTGGTGAGGAACTGCGTTCCTTTGGAGGAGGAGAGGCGCTCTGCTTTTTAGAGTTTCCAGTTTTTCTGTTCTGTTTTTTCCCCATCTTTGTGGTTTTATCTACTTTTGGTCTTTGATGATGGTGATGTATAGATGGGTTTTTGGTGTGGATGTCCTTTCTGTTTGTTAGTTTTCCTTCTAACAGAGAGGACCCTCAGCTGCAGGTCTGTTGGAGTACCCTGCCGTGTGAGGTGTCAGTGTGCCCCTGCTGGGGGGTGCCTCCCAGTTAGGCTGCTCGGGGGTCAGGGGTCAGGGACCCACTTGAGGAGGCAGTCTGCCCGTTCTCAGATCTCCAGCTGCTTGCTGGGAGAACCACTGCTCTCTTCAAAGCTGTCAGACAGGGACATTTAAGTCTGCAGAGGTTACTGCTGTCTTTTTGTTTGTTTGTGCCCTGCCCCCAGAGGTGGTGCCTACAGAGGCAGGCAGGCCTCCTTGAGCTGTGGTGGGCTCCACCCAGTTCGAGCTTCCTGGCTGCTTTCTTTACCTAATCAAGCCTGGGCAATGGCGGGCGCCCCTCCCCCAGCCTCAATGCCGCCTTGCAGTTTGATCTCAGACTGCTGGGCTAGCAATCAGCGAGACTCCGTGGGCGTAGGACCCTCCAAGCCAGGTGCAGGAGATAATCTCGTGGTGCGCCGTTTTTTAAGCCCGTCGGAAAAGCGCAGTATTCGGGTGGGAGTGACCCGATTTTCCAGGTGCGGTCCGTCAGCGATTTCTTTGACTCAGAAAGGGAACTCCCTGACCCCTTGCGCTTCCCAAGTGAGGCAATGCCTCACCCTGCTTCAGCTCGCGCACGGTGCACGCACCCACTGACCTGCGCCCACTGTCTGGCACTCCCTAGTGAGATGAACCCGGTACCTCAGATGGAAATGCAGAAATCACCCGTCTTCTGCGTCGCTCACGCTGGGAGCTGTAGACTGGAGCTGTTCCTATTCGGCCATCTTGGCTCCTCCCCCCGGGGCCAATCTTTTTCAAAACATCAGTCTTAAAAGTAGGTTGTCTTGCTCATACAGCCAGGGATCTCTGAGGATCCGCCTGCAGTCTGCGTGAGATGAAACATCTCGATCTATCAACTGCCACCCCTGAAGGAGCTGAAGGAGCATCTCACTTCTTGTTTTCTCCCTAGCAGGGCCTATTTGACAGGGTAACACAAACAGGATTCTGTGCTCCTCTGAGAATCCCCCTTCTACATATGGGAGAGCCAGCCTCGCCAGGATGCTGTCTGGATGAGGCTCAGACGTAGACTCCTGGGTAAACTGTCCTGGCTGGTCTGTAGCCTAATAGGAGACTGAAGTAGTAGGTCGCACCCTGGATAACAGCACAATTAAAGTGAATTAACATAATCCAGATATCAGTTCTGATATCTGTGTTAGTGTTAGCTAACCCTTTAATAGTGTTAACTCAATTGTGTGACCCTCAATTCAAAATTCTGAGATTTCTTTTGTACATTCCCACGAGCTTATACTCTCTTGGGCATATCTGTATTTACATACAAAAAGCTGACAGATCATTATCAGTTATTTCTTAAAAACTGAATGTTTCTCTGTCCCCTTCTTCCATTTCTGATTCTTGGCATCAAAGCTGCTATGGTTTTGGAAGTGGCCTAGTTTGGCACACAAGGGCTTTCTGTTCTGGTTGCACAACGACTTTTTTAGTCTCAACACTTGCTTTTTCCCCACCATGCATCTTATACCCCTGCCTAGTTAACACTGTGCTATTTATGGTCTCTGTGCTTTTCTACAGAGGCTCCATTTCCTTTACTTACTCTCTTCTTCACCTGGCTAACTCCTGTTCAACCCTCAAAAGGTCACTCAGGAATCGTACTCTCTGGGACTCCCTAGCTAATGCCTCATCTGATCTGTCTGGTTTGGATGCCCCTCCTTGGAGATCCTGCTCTCTGGGTTATCTTTCATAATCTCTGTCATAGGGTCTTATAGTCATTTGCTTAACTGTCTGAATCCCATCTTCATCTCTAAGCTCCTTGGAGATGGGGACCCTGTCTTGTCTCTACCTGCCAACAGATTTCCAGGGCCAGAGTATACTAAATGTTTCTTTCACTGATTCATTTATTTAGCAATTGATCAATAAGTTTATTGATCTCTTTTAGTTGTTCAGAGACCTTTTATCCTGATTTAAGGCTCTCACTTGTTTTTTGAATAGATGAAGTCACTAGACAAATGAGAAACCTCCAAGTAAGCATAGGTCACTCTGTGAAGTTTCCAAGTGTTCTTTGATCATTTACACTTGGCAGCCAGGTATTGCAGAAGGACAGCCAGCTTGGTGGCATCAGTGAATGCAATTTTTCTTCACAGAGCTTGTAATGAGCAACATTGCCAATTTAATCTTTGGGGCCTGTCAATTCCTCCTTTCTTCATGCTCTGCTCTTCTTTTCAGGCTTACTTTCCCACCCCCAAGGCACACAGGACCTGTATCCTCAATGGTCTTCTCAGAACCTTGGAGTTTTGATTATAGCTCCATGACTAACTAATTAGCTGTGTGACCCTGGACACCCCATTTTCCCTGTTTGAGCCTCATTTTCCTTAGTTATCAAATAAAGTATTTTCTTAGTCCATTTGTACTGTTATAATAAAATATTTTAGATGGGTAATTTATAAATAATAGACATGTATTTCTCACAGTTCTGAACGTTGGGAAGTCTAAGATCAAAGCATCAGCAGATTTGGCATCTGGTGAAGGCTTGCTGTCTGCTTCCAAGATGGTGCCTTCTTGCTGCATCCTAACATGGAGAAAAAAAAGCCTTGTATCCGCACATGCTGGGAGAGATGAAAGGGCCAGGCAGCTATTTGAAGTTTCTTTTATAAGCCACCAATCCCATATATGAGGAAAGAACCTTTGTCATCTAATCACATTTCAAAGGCCCCACCTCTTAATAACATCACCTTGGGGTTTCAGTTCCAACATACAAATTGTATTAGTCCATTCTCACACTGCTATAAAGACAAAACTGAGACTGGGTAATTTATTTGAAAAAAAAAAGAGGTTTAATCAGCTCATGCTTCTGCAGGCTGTACAGGCGTCTTCTTCTGGGGAGGCCTCAGGAAACTTACAATCATGACAGAAGGTAAAGGAGAAGCAGGCACATTTCACATGGCCAGCAGGAGAGAGACAGTGAAGGGGACGGTGATACACACTTTTTAAACAACCAGATATTGTGAGAACTCTATCACGAGAAAGCACTAGCAGGATGGTGCTAAACCATTAGAAACCACCCCCATGATCCAATCACCTCCCAGCAGGCCCCACCTCCAACACTGGGGATTACAATTCAACATGAGATTTGGGTGGGGACACAGAGCCAAACCATATCATGAATCTAGGAGGGACCCATACATTCAAACCACAGTAGACAGGATGAAAAATGACAATCTATCATTGAATCAAGGCCAGGAGACAGCACCTGGTCTGTAAAGGTAGACTAAGAAGCTGGCTTCATGTGGAGATGAGGTCTGGAAAAGTGGGTGTGGGTCATGCTGTCAGAAACCCTATCCCAATCTCATATCCTGTCTTCAATCCTATTAGCCTCTAAGTCTCATTTTTTGTTGAGGGAAATACATTATCTTCCTGAAGGGGCTGTTGTAAATCAAAAGGGATCATGGATGTGAGACAGCTCTGAAAACTTAGAAGCTTGTCAGTCATTATGATCTCTCTAAAGCAATCCAGACATACCAACAAGGACTGTCCATGTCCTAAACCACCGTTTATCAAGGTGCATTCCAGGAGCCTCCTTCTGAGAGGTGTCTACAGAGATTAATGGATAAAGGAGAAGGAAGAATGAGGTTATTATAGACAATCAATTTGAGAAACATGGAATAACAAAGGTAAATGGGGAGATTTCTTTACTGAGGAAGGCCTTGACTAGCTACCAGGTACCGAGTACCTGGTACTCAGTGCTGAGTTCCTGTCTACAAACAGGAACTTTTTTTTATTTTTGTGAAATTTATAATTACATTTCAATGCTGACTCATTTTATTTTACCTTTATTTTTAAAGATAATTTTAACTTTTATTTTAGATTTAGGGGTGCATGTGTAAGTTTGTTACCTGGGTATGTTGTGTGGTACTGAGGTTTGGGGTACAGTTAAGGTTTCTCAATCCCTTTTGCTGTAGGTGCCTTTTGCTTTATAGAGCATCAAATAAGGATACTTCAGGAAATGCTGCTTTCAACCAAAGGAAAGATATAATCTAGAAATTTTGGACACTGTTAAGGGACTTTTGGAAGATATCTTGGGGGAGTTAAGAGGTGCTTTCAGCATGCTTCAGTTTCTACTGACCCTTTGGGAATACAGTCATAAGCAGTGGAATGTTGAGGGGATTGTGACTTGTAGTCAGGAATCCTGGGTTTCAATCCTAGGTCTGCCACCAACTCCCTCTGTAGCCCTGGGCCATTCAGTTACCCTCTCTGCGGTGCAGTGTACTCATGTGTAAAATGCAGGGCTAGATGCAGGAACATCAAGACCACCAGAGACCAGTCACATTCACTCAGATCGCTGCAACAAAGTGTTTGCTGAGGGGAAAGAAAAGGAAGAACAAGGCAGCATGCATATTTAATGTTGCAGTAAAACATAGCAGTGCCCAAGACTCCAACAATCAATTCAGGAGCAGGTCATCTGAAACTAAAGGTCCCCTGTTAATAGTGCTCCAGACCGTAGAAATTGAGGTAAATAAGCAGCTAGTTGTGTGTAAGAATACTGCTGGTAGTGGAGGGGCCTTCTCCACCCACCACCCATATTTTCTAATGCTTCAAGTGGGACATGCAACTTAGCCACCACTTATTCTGGGACTGAGGTCTCTTCCTACGCTGCCGAAGTATTTTCATATGTCCCCCACGCCCTGTGTCCACCAGCCCCATGTCCACAGCCTATCAGAACCTAGGGCATCAGTGTCCAGTGGTCTCACAATACTGAAGGCTGCATTAATTTTGGACCACACAGTAAGAAAGCTGAGCTCACTAGTCACAGCCAGCCTCTTGAAATGCGAGATTTATAACATGCAAAAGCCGTTTCCAAAGCTTCACATTTGCATTTCCTACTTTGTTGGTGATAGATTGAAAGCATTAACTGCAAAGCAAGTAAAACCCAGAGGCTGGATGGCATTCAAACCTAATTGATTCAACAGGTGTTTCCTGAACTGATAGCATCTCTGCACAGAGCCCAAGGTAAGGGAGGGAGGAGATGTTCATTTATCTAGGTTATAAGACCTATCATTTCCTTCCTGACATAGATATTCTCTTTAATCCTCATTGTGAGGTATTCAGTGACACCATGTGACAGGTAAAGGGGCCTGAAAAGTAACTTGCTGAATATCACAAGTAGGTGGGAGAATCCAAAATTTTATACTAGAGCTGTCTAATTTTAACGTCTGAGTTTTCCACTAAGACTTCAAGTTGTCTTACCAATTGTAGAGACAAATAAAGAATCATTGTTGCCCCCAGGAACTGATGTGGGTATGGAGAAATGACATAGGTCAGATGGGGCTGAATGGCGGGAAGGGCACAGAACTGAGTCAGGAAGTGTGTGTGTTTCTCTGCTTTGGTCTCTAGAAAAAAAAAAACTAAATTTACATATACCTCTATCTATTTTTAAAGATAAGTTAAAAATAAATATATTGCTCTACTTTCTACTCCATGGGGTCATAGAATTACAAGACTAAAATCTTATAGGATGTCATATAAATCATCTTATCTAAGTCCGTTGTTTTACACTAAGAAAAGGGATCGTCAGACAACTTAAATAACTTGCCTTAGGGCACACAGTAAAGTAACCACAAAAGTTTGGCCTGGAACCTGTGTCCCCTCTTCTTAGTCTACTGCACATCCCATTACACCACTTCTCAGCCTTTTAACTGAATCAAAGAGAATGAGTATCCCATTCATATCCATTCATCACCATCCATCCATTCATCTATCCATCTATCCATCCATTTATCCATTCACCCTCCATCTATCTACCCTCCATCTATCCATCTTCCATCCAACCACCCCCATCCATCCATCGGTCTATCCATCCATCCACCTCTATCACCCTCTATGCATCCAACTATCCATCCAATCATCCATCCATCCCCCATTTATTCAACCATTGATTCATCCTTCCTTATAGCCAACTCCAGCCAAGTGTCTACTCCAAGCCAAATCCCAAGCCAGATCCTGAAGACTCTAAGCTTTCTGCCTGTTACAGCAGCATGTTGTCACCTCTAGACACAATGTAATAGTGAATCTAGGCCAGACTTCTGCTCCATGGTATCAGACTACATATTCAAGTGTCACAAATAGAGAACATACAGGTGAGAGGAACGTTCCCCAGGGCTTGAGGTTGTCATAGGTTTCAGCTGGAAGTGCTTCTAAAGGCATTCTGGTGCTGAGTTTACGGCACATGCATGCATTTGAGCCAGGGATTATGGGAAGGTCTGACATTTGAGGGTTGGTCAAGACCTGTACTTACAGCTTAGATTTGGGCTGGAAAAAAATATTTTTCTCATAAACATAATATTATGATATTATTTAAAAATATAATGATGAATGTTGGCAAAAATTTTACCTGATTATATTTATCCACTCACAAGTATTTGTTGAGCACTAGCTATGCATTTTCATGTTTTTCATTTAATGCTCACAGTAAGTTTATAAGGTAGACATCAATAACTTCTATACCTTCACTTCATGGGCACAGAAACTGAGCTCAGAGAAGTATAAAACTTGCCCTTAGTCATGCAGATAGTAAGTAGCAGAACCAAGATTTTAACCCAGGACTCTTGGACTTCAAACTAACACTAGAATAAGCTGACTCCCCAAACAGTTTGCACTCCAAAAGTGGAAGAAATAGCTCCTTGTTATGGGGCTTAAAGAAAGTCTCACAAAATAAAATTTCAACCAGAGAAGGTAGGGTTCTAGAGGTAGAGAGGGCCAAGAAGGGCATCCTGAGGAATACAAACAGCTTGAGAAAAAGCACACAAACAGGGAAGCATGGGCCAGGCTCAGAAAACAATGAGTTTGAGGTTTGTGCACTGGGATCTGATCATGGGGCACTGGGCTTGAAAGAAGTGGGTTGGGGGATTGTCATGGCACCTGACTTCAGTCTTATGAGCAATGAGGAGCCACTAAAGGTTTCTGAGTAGAAAAACAATGCAATAAAGTCTGTACTTTCAAAATATGCAATCTGGTGGTGAAAAATATGGAAGCTTGAAGGAGGAAGATCATTTAAGTGGGTAATGTTTATGGGGTAGAAAAGAGGGAATGAGAAGTTAGGCAGGGTGGTAAAGGGGAGAAAGAAAAAGGAAGAGAAGAAAGTGAATGATGCTGAAGAGTTTGGATCAATGGATGAGTGAGAACTAAAAAAATTGATGAGTGGGTGAATAGGTAAATGGATGGACAAATGAATGAATGAGTGAATAGGTGGGTGGGTTGATAGATGAAGAGATGGTTACTTGTGCTTGGGCTGGTCCTTCTCCAGAGAAATATATTTCCCTTAGCTTAAACTCCACCATCAAGGTGTGTAATTTGGGGCTTTTTCCTTCATGAGATCTCAGCCAGTATTATAGACCTGGCAGCTCCTACTTCATTTCATTTCTAGGTAGAGAGACCAGAGCACGAAAACCTCTCACTGTTCCACCCCGCACATCACCTTCAGATTCTTCCGTCAAAACCATAATGTCATCATTTCCCCTGCCCCAAGATACTTCATGGGCTCCCCATGGCCAATGTGATCAAAATACATTATTGGTTCTGCCACCCATGATGTTTACTGTATTCGTCCATTCTCATGCTACTATGAAGAAATACCCGAGACTGAGCAATTTATAAAGGAAAGAGGTTTAACTGACTTGCAGTTCTGCAAGGCAGGGGAGGTCTCAGGAAAATTACGATCATGGCAAAAGGAGAAGCAAACACGTCCTTCTTCACATGGCATTAGCAAGGAGAAGTGCCAAGCAAAGGCGGAAAAGGCCCTTATAAAACCATCAGATCTTGTGAGAACTCACTATTATGAGAACAGCATGAGGGGTAACTGCTCCTCTGATTCAATTACTTCCCACCAGGATCCTCCCATGACAAGAGAGGATTATGGGAACTACAATTTAAGGTGAGATTTGGGTTGGGTGGGGACACAGCCAAACCGTATCATTTACCGAGCATGGTACTAAAAGTCTGATACGAAGTCTGTGAAAAGCTTAAGCCTTGCTAAAAGATGTAATTTGATTTGAACCTGGTCAGACCACTTCCTAGATGTGTGGCCTTGGGCAAATGACTTAATTGCATTCAAACTTACCTATAAAATGGTGTAACACTTTCATTTTCAGGGATGCTTTGGGGATTAATTTAGCTAATACATAAAGTGCCCAGGCCACAGGAGGTGCTCAATAGTGGAAACTATATTATTAAATAAGATACTCTAATCCTTGTATAAGGGCTCTTTTTAACATCTTCATTCTCTCAAGGATCACTGGGTATCTTGGTGTCTTTAAACAGAGACTCCTGCAATGGCATATTTTGTGCATCTGGAAGATTAACCATCCTCCCACCCCTACCGTACTACCCTTTATCGCAAATCCACAAATTGAGTGTCCTTTTTTCTTCAACATTTGCCAATGGTTAGCTCCATCCCTCTTATCTTCCAGGTCTTTCTCTACCAAGGTAATTCTCATTGTTTGGTTAAGATGCTACTTGAGGCTCAATAGAAGAATGATACTTTCTAGCTTCACCATGTGGTATGGAATATGGTTCAGCCATCACAACTCTCTCCTTGGCACTGACATCAAAGAGAAAGTGCTACATTTAGCAGAACTTGCAAGAGGCAGTGCTATAATCAGGTATCCATCTGCTTGGCAAGTGCTGGCATTTTCAGCCTTTGTCTCCCTCCATCATGTTGAACAACATTATGATACTGAAAAGGATAAAAAATCCTTAAAAGCATGGAAATATAAAGGCATCATAGACCAAGTGAAATTGCTTCCCTTTGCTCATAATCTTCCCTCTGACCAGATGCTACTTCTCCAGATTCTCCACTGACATCCTTTAGGAGTTCACAGGAGAACTAAAAAAAAAAAATCTCTAATTATATACTCATTTTGCCCTTCCCTGTTTAATGCCTAGCTCCCCCACTGCTCTATGAGTCCATGAAAGTAGTAGAGACTGTGTTCATTTTGTTTTGTTCTGTTTCCCTAAGGTCTAGCAGAATTTCTGGCACACAGTCCTCGGGATGTATTTGTTAAATAAATGAATAAATCACTGATAGAATAAATGAAAAAGTGATTAGTGAAGGAGTAAATAAGTAAATAGATAGTTCCAATACAAGGTATTAAGTACAACTCTTGCAGGAAATATGAGGCATAATAAGAACCAGCAGAGGATGAGGAAACTCAATCTAAAAACCAGGAAAGCTTCCTGTACTAGTCCGTTACTATAAAGAAATATCTGAATGGGTGTTTTATAAAGAAAAGAGGTTTAATTGGCTCGTGGTTCTGCAGGCTATACAGGAAGCATGGTGCCAGCATCTGCTCAGCTCCTAGGGAGGCCTCAGGGAGCTTTTACTCATAGAGGAAGGTGAAGCAGGAGCAGGCATATCACATGGCCAGAGCAAGAGCGAGAGAGAGAGAGTTGGGGAGGTAGTTGTATTAGTCTGCTCTCACGCCGCTAATAAGGACATACCCGAGACTGGGTAATTTACAAAGGAAAGAGGTTTTATTGACTCACAGTTCCACATGGCTGGGGAGGCCTCACAATCATGGTGGAAAGCAAAGAGGTATGAAGTCACCTCTTACATGGTGGCAGGCAAGAGAGCGTGTGTAGGGGAACTGCCCTTTATAAAACCATCAGATCTCGTGAGACTTATTCACTATCACGAGAACAGCATGGGAAAAACCTGCCCCCATGATTCAATTACCTCCCAACAGGTCCCTCCCATGATATGTGAAGATTATAGAGGCTACAATTTAAGATGAGATTTGCGTAGGGACACAGCCAAACCACATCAGAGGTGCCACATACTTTTAAATGGCCAGATCTCATGTGAACTCAGAGCCAGAGCTCACTCTCTCCAAGGGAATGTCCCAAGCCATTCATGAGGGATCTGCACTCATGATCCAATCACCTCCAACCAGGCCCCACCTCCAACATTGGGGATTACATTTCAACACGAGATTTGCATGGGGACAAATACCCAAACTACGTCATTTCCCAAAGGAAGTGACAGCTGCTTTGAGTTTTGAAGTAAAAACAGGAGTTGGTTTTATGGAGTTGGTAATGGAAGGGCATTCTGGGTAGAGGGAACAGCTTGGACAAAGGGCAGAGATGTGATACAACATGGCATGTTCAGAGAATTACAAGTAATTCTTTTGACCTAGACAAAGTACCTTCCACCGCCTTTCCCTGACCAACTTTCTTGCTTGATTCCACACAACTCCAGTTAGACACAACTTTACTCAGTTCTCAAAACACAGCAGGCCCTGGTCAGTCACCGTGTCTTTGTGTATGTTGGTTCTCCTGCCCCTCTCTGCCTGCCTAAATTTTAACCAACGTTCATGAGCCGATGCTGCTTCCCTTGCTTCAGGGACCTTCTCTGTGGGCTCCATCCCTGAATAAGAGGCATGGACACTCCTTCACACTACTGGCTCCTCCACAGAGGGCAGGGCATGCTCTCCCTGCCTCAGTCTCTCCGGCCAAGTTCCTGCCACACCTCATTTATCCCCTGCCACTCGGCTGCCTTGGTCTCTCAGTCAGACAAGGATGGAACAGGAATATGATGCCAGCAGCATTAAGCTGGTGTTTCAGAAACAGTTTTCATGGAACAGTGAGCTAAGCATATGATTTTTAAAAAGAGGGTTTCCAGATGAACTGTTAATTCCATTTTTAATTTCTTTTAGGTTCCTGAAAGGGGACTGAGGGGACTGAGTGGTGGCGTTTTTGTTTCTGCAGGAAATGGAGTCTCTTCATCCTTGATCTAGGGGAGATGGGCACTGCCATTAAAATTGCAGTCTCATTCCTGGCCCCCATAAGAGCCTAAATCAGAGCTTTTAAATACAAAGTGAAAGGAGATTTCCTTGGATCTAAGCCTATGCTCCCTTTCATGGCCCTGGGCCAGGGAAGAAAAGGAAGAGAAGGTAACCTTTGAATATATTTTTCTGTTCCCCTAACCTTCTATATTTCACAGAAACTTCTTTTTGCAGCTTTTACCACCTGCCTAATTCGTTCTCATGCTTCAAGGCCTTGCTCAGATGCCCCTACCTCTCTCCATCTTTCCTGGTCACCACACTGTGCATTAATTGCTCCCTTCTCTCTGCAGCCAGAGCCTTTTCTTTATGTCTCCATCTTAATGCCTCTCAGTCTGATTTTTATAAGAATCAGTTGCCTGAACTTCTCACCATTTGTGCCATAAGTTCTCTAAGGCAATGGCTCTCAAAGTTGTCCCTAGACCTGTAGCATCAGCTTCACCTGGGCACTTATTGGAAATGGAAATTCTCGGTGTTCCTTCTGGAGTGCCACTCTTCAACCAGACCTACTGATTAGAAACTCCGGTGGTGAAACCCAGCAATCTGAGTTTCAGTAGGCCCTCCAGAAGATTCTAAAGCACACTGAAGTTTGAGGGCCATTATTTTAAGGGTAGGAACAGGGAACTATTCGTCTGAGAAAGTACCCCTCACCAAATGTACACACACAGTAAGTCCTCAATAAATGCTTTATTGAATGGAAGTGTTTACATGACACAGCCCCTAACATGCTGGTAATAATAATCTAGAGTGGAAAAGAAGATGCCTAAAGAAGCACCCACTCAATAATGGAGATGAGGGATATATACACAACTGGCCAGCTAGCCACCCCACCAGTGCATCTTAAACCAATATAAAAAGTTGCAAAAGATTATGCTACATAACAGCAGGTATTCATTCCAAATCAGCTGATAACTGCCATGTTTCTGAGACACTCCTGAAATATTTACCACCAGAAGTTCTTCATTATTAAGAACGGTGTGGTTGGACAGTTCTGAGATCTCTGTTTGCATCCAAAGCTGTTTCACAGACTTTGAGGATGGAGGCTACCACGTTTGGGAGCCCTGGCAGCAGAGACAGGCAATAACAGCACTTATTATTGTATGGATTCAATATAAAGCAGGTCAAAATCCTGCTCCCTGGAACACAAAAACTACCTAGAATAAAAGTCTGAAATAACACAGCTGTCTTCTAAGCTGTTATTATTTTCCTCCAATAACAGCATGGCAAAGGGTTTCACTTTACTTACCTTACTCAAGAAAGACTCCTAGTTTCAAAACAAAAGATTACAGTCCCCTCACCCAGATCCTTTCTACTATGTTTTTCTCGCCCTGACAGTACCATATATCTGAATATGTATTTTTTCACACAACCAGATTTTAACTGCACAAACAGGATGATGTCTTGTCAGAGCATTTATTTTATCCTTACTGCCTTTTTCCTCCATTTAATTCCTTCCTTCCGTTTAGTTGCATTTTATTTCTTTAAGGAGGGTCAGTACATTTTAATCACAATGTACACTGGCTTGCTAGAACTATTGATGGAAGAATTCAAAGCTCAACACTCAGTTCATTTAGACGGGAACTACCAAGTTCAATGAGAAAAGCAAAGGGTAAAATGAAATTACACAGCTTTTTGGCTGACTTCCCATTTCTGTGTATATAAAGGCATGGGATGGCCTTTGATGGCCCAGATTCTGAAACAATAATGCCCTAGGAGGAGTTCATATAATATTAAAAGCATGTTATTAAGGGAGATAAATATAAAACCCAATTTTATTTTAAAAACTGACTTGGCAAGTAAAGATTATCAACAGTCCTTTCTTTCTTACTTCAAAATAACAATTATCACCAAAATAATGACTAACATTTGTACAGTGCTTTACAGTTTAGAAAATGCTTTTTACATCTATCAAGTCCATTAATCAGTATGGTCATTACTAATAGCTAAGATTTACATAGAGCTTACAATTCACCAGGCATTGTGCCAAGCACCTTACATGGATTATGTAACTTAATCTTCATAACAACCCTGGGGTATGTCCTCATTTTACATAAATGAAAACCGAAGTTAAGTGACTTGCACTAGGTCGCAAAGTTGGTAAGCCATCAATCTAACATGTAAACCCAAGCTCTGACTCTACCAGAATGAGTAGAAGCATTTTATAGGAAAGAATTTCAGGCTCAGCCAGGTTTGGTGATACACCCGGGGTCACCCAGCAGCAAGCAGCAGAGCCTGAATGAGAACACAAATGTCCTGATTGCCCAGGTCAGAGTTGTGCCATGCAGCCTGGGCATACCATGTCCACACACAGGCCTACAAGAGACAAAGGCCCTTGCTGCTATTCCAGTCTGTCTCCTAGGCAGACAGAACTCCTTGTACCTAGTTTAATCTTCCTTCTATAGCTAACAAACACAGTAAAACAGAAAAGAGAAAGAAGAATAACAAATAAGTGCTACTGAAAAAGAACATCAGAAGAGGCAAAGCATAGGCAGTCAGGGGATGGGGCTGCAGATGGGTCTGTGTGAGAATACAAACAAGAGACGGAAACCTTTTGTACTTGCTAAATATTCAGAAAGGCTACATTGTACTGCATGAAAGAACCAGCCCAAACCAGCTTCACATGCCAAGGAATATCCACGCAGACATTGCTTTCACAGTGAGGTGCCATCCTGCCGGAGGATGCGGGAATGGTGAGATGGTAGCACAGATCCCTCATGGGACTTTTTTGGGGCAATGCCTATACCTGCAGGTGCAGTGCCCTGCAATGTGCCTGGCACATTTGGAACTCCCAGAGAGTTTTTTGTTGAATTGAACTGGTGGCCATTATCCGCAACACATGACGCATCTCTGTCTCGGTTTCTTTTCTGTAAAATGGGAACAATATTAGTACTCCCGTCACATGGATGTCGTAAAGATTAAATATAATGATGAAAGTAAGGCATAGAGCACATCGTCTGGCCCACAGTGGGTGTTCAATAACTGATGGTAGTGGTGGTTGTTAAGTTAATACTGGCATCACATGAAGGCATATTGCTAAATACTACAATTATTGAAATCATCCAGTCCAAATTCCTCATTTTACAGATGGGGAAGTTGAGGCCCATAGAGGGAAAGAGCTTATCTCAGCAGTCACTCAGCTTTTATCATGGAGATTAAAAGAGCAGTCACTCAGCTTTTATCAAGGAGAAAAATAGAAAGTCAACTGTACCTACTACATCTGCTGGTCCAATGATTGTTTCCACGGACATGCGCTTCACTGACATAAAAGGAAGAATTTAAGCAGGAATATCTGACTGCTGCTCCCAGTCTAGAAAGGACACGCAATATGGGTTTGAACTGCATGGTTCCACTTACACATAGATTTTCTTCTACCTCTGCCACCCATGAGATAGCAAGACTAACCCCTCCTCCTTCTCCTCAGCCTCAGCCTACTTAACATGAAAACAGCATGAAGACCTTTATGATGGCCCACTTCTACCTAATGAACAGTAAACATATTTTCTCTTCCTTGTAATTTTCTTAATAACATTATCTTTTATCTAGCTTACTTTATTGTAAAAATACAGTACATAATCCATATAACATACTAAATTTGTGTTAATTGACTGTTTAGGTTATTGGTAAGGCTTCTGGTCAACAGTAGGTTATTAGTAATCGTGTTTTTGGGGAGTGAAAATTAAACTCAGATTTTGACTTCATGGGGGGTTGGCTCTTCTAACCCTCATGTTGTTCAAGGGTCGACTGTACACATACATAGTGAAGTGGCAAATTAACATATCCATATGTTCATCACCTCAAATAGTTACCGTGTGTGTGTGCATGTATGTGTGTGAGGAACACCCAAAATCTACTCATAGTAAATTTCTTATATATAATACAATATAATTAACTAGTCCTCAAGCTGTACATCAGATTTCTAGAGTTATTCATCCTGCATTACTGCAAGTTTGTACCCTTTGATCTACATCTCTCCATTTTCTCCCCTTCCCACTCCTGGCAATCATGGTTCTATTCTCTGTTTCTATGTAATCTATGTTGTTTACATTCCACATATAATTGAGATCATGTGATATTTGTCTGTCTCTGCCTGGCTCTATTTCACTTAGCATAATGTCCTCCAAGTTCACCTATGTTGGCACAAAAGGCAGCATATCCTTTTTTAAGGCTGAATAGTATTCCATTTATAATATATAACAGAATATTCTATTATAAATTCTATTATTTATAATAGAATATATGTGAATATATTGCACATATATATGTGAAATATATAACATATACCATAATTCCTTTATCCATCCATCCATCCATCAATGGATACTTAGGTTGTTTCCATATCTTGGCTATTGTGTAATGCTGCAGTGAACATGATATTACCTCACACCTGTTAGGATGGCTATTATCAAAAAGACAAGAAATAGTAAGTGTTGACAAGGATGTAGAGAGACGGGAACCCTTGTATGCTGTTGGTGGGAATGTAAATAGTATAGCCATTGGCTAGGTGCAGTGGCTCACGCCTGTAATCCCAGCACTTTGGGAGGCTGAGGTGGGCAGATCACTGGAGGTCAGGAGTTTGAGACCAACCTGACCAATATGGTGAAACCCCGTCTCTACTAAAAATACAAAAATTAGCCGGGCATGGTAGCAGGTGCCTGTAATCTCAGCTACTCAGGAGGCTGAGGCAGGAGAATCACTTGAGCCTGGGAGGCGGAGGTTGCAGTGAGCTGAGATCATGTCACTGCACTCCAGCCTGGGCAACAGAGCAAGACTCCGTCTCAAAAAAAAAAAAAAAAAAAAAGTACAGCCACGCCAGGCGTGGTGGCTCATGCCTGTAATCCCAGCACTTCGGGAGGCCGAGGCAGGCGGATCACGAGGTCAGGAGATCGAGACCATCCTGGCTAACATAGTGAAATCCCCTCTCTACCAAAAATACAAAAAATTAGCCAGGCGTGGTGGCAGACGCCTGTAGTCCCAGCTACTCGAGGCTGAGGCAGGAGAATGGCAAGAACCCAGGAGGCGGAGCTTGCAGTGAGCTGAGATTGCACTGCACTCCAGCCTGGGCAACAGAGCAAGACTCCATCTCAAAAAAAAAAAATAGTATAGCCATTATGTAAAATAATATAGAGGCTTCTCAAAAAAACAAAAATAGAACTACCATATGGCTCAGCAGTCCCTCTGCAGAGTACATACCCAAAGCAAATAACTTTCATTGAGAGCTTACTATGTGCTAGATATTCCCACAAATGCAGTCTCATCTGACCCAACAGTATAAACCTGCAGGAAGCAGGCATTATTATTAAGTCCATTTTGCAGTAGAGGAAACTGAAGATTGGAGATATTAAATTAAAAAACTATCCTGTCAACCATCCAATTAGCATTGGAGCAGGGATTTCAATCCATATCTGTATTACTCTGAAGCTCATGATATTTTACCAAGACATACTATAGCTGGAGAAAAAAAAAAAAAAAAGCAATCTAAAGTGCCAAAGAAAGCCCCTTGTGTTTTCAGTGACAAATGGAATTCAAAATCCATGAAACCAGGGAAAGTATTGAGGAGTCATCAAATCAACAAAATGTTCTCGCCAACATGGTAAGACTTCTGATTTTAAGGCCAAGCTTTCTCTGTAGCCTGACCTACCATCTGCAACCCCCTCACCATCACTAGCCACACATGCCTTAGTCCAACTGGCAATTACCTACCACCAGGACTATTGCACTTATCTCTTAACTGGCCTGTCTTCCACTCTCTCACCCCTACAGGGTATTTTCTACATGGCAGCCAGATTGATATTTTCAGAACACACACCACATCATACTATTTCCTCAGCTTGAAACTGCCAACCGCTACCCACTGTCTTAGAATATATTCTGAACTCTTTACTGTGACCTGAAAGATGCTACATGGCTTGGCCTCTGTCTGCCTCTTGACTTTGTGAACTACTTCTTTCTCCCTTGCAAACTACATTTTGACCACTAAGCTTCCTTTCGATCATTGTATTAGTCCATTCTCATGCTGCTAATAAAGACATACCTGAGACTGAGTAATTTACAAGGAAAAAAAGGTTTAATGGACTCACAGTTCCACATGGTTGGGGAGGTCTCACAATCATGGCAGAAGGCAAAGGAGGAGCAAAGGCATGTCTTACATGGTGGCAGGAAAGAGCTTGCGCAGGGGAACTGCCCTTTATAAAACCATCGGATCTCTCGAGACTTTTTCACTATCATGAGAGCAGCACAGAAATCACACCCCCCCCCCAACCTCATGATTCAATTACTTCCCACCAGGTCCCTCCAACGACACATGAGGATTATGGGAGCTACAATTCAAGATGATATTTGGGTGGGCACACAGCCAAACCATATCAATCATCAAATAGACCATGATCTCCCCTGTCTCAGAGCTGTGGTGTGAGGTGTTCCACTGCCTGGAATGGTCTTTACTCCAAGTTCTTCATGTGAATTCATGTGATTCTTCTTGCTGTTAAGGCCTCAGCTTAAATATCATGTCCACAAACAGTTCTCCCCTGGTCACCCTACAACAGTAGTAATTTCTACCCCTTTCTCTCCATTCCACTATCTCTTTTATTTTCTTCATAGTACTTCTTACTAAAAGTTTCTTGTCTACTTATTAATTTTCTGTCTCTCTCTGATCAGCAGATAGTAAGAACAAAGAGGTGCAAGTTTTATGATAGGTATGAACAAAAAATTCTCTTGTTCTAGTGAACAAGAGATTCTAATAGGGATGGCCTCCAAGAAGGAGGAAGAACATAAGTGTTGATTATTATCATATAATTATAACTAAGGGAGGCAGGAGGGCTACTATCTATGGAAAGAAGGAAAGACTTTATTCTATCTTGCAAGTGGGTGGTGATGGAGGGCACTATTTTTAAGACTTTAGGGCAGGCATATAGCAGGAAGGAAGCCATCAACTGTCTGCCCTTAGTGATAGTTACCCTGACAGCGGCTGCTATGGATACGTTTCCTGAATACTAAACCGGGTTCATACAGGGCTTCGGATCCCAAATTTGACAAGAGTCATACTCAGGCCCTGAACCATCAACCTGACACAACTCAAACAGTTCCCCAGGGCAAAACAGCACCTTTGGAACCTTAAATCAACAACTGAGTGTTGAAACCAACAGCTGCACATACGCACACACACCTTGCTACAAGGTAGGAGGTGATTTTTACCAAACGGGGAGTTTTCACAAAGCCTTCTTCTCTGCTCCCCTATCCACCCCACTCACACTATTATTTTTGCAGCCTTTCACTGATAAATATGAGTTCAACCTTAAAACACCACATTTTCATCTTGAAACCAAGGTAGCTAACATAAAGGATAAAAGAAATAGAAAAAAAACTTCTTTTATAATGAAGCTAAGTCAGTTGCTTACTGGTGATGCTTTCAGCCACAAAGAAAGGTTTAAATACTCTTCAGGGTAAATTACTATTGTTACTCAAAAAGTAAGAGGGAGAGAGCCAATGATTACATTAGCTTCCATTCATTGAAAGCCTTCTATGTACCAAGTGTTTTAAATGTATCATCTCTAAGACTTACAAATCACTGCAAAATAAGTGTTAGTATTCTCATTGTACAGATAAAGGAAGAAAACCTCAGAGAGGCTAATAAACTTACTCATACTTAATAGCCAGGAAGTTGCAGAGCCAAGATTTGAACCCAGGTATGCCTGGCCCCAAGGCACCCACATATTCTCTACTATGTCTCTATTCCAAAATCTCTAAGGGTCAAGGTCTTAGACTCACAGGTTCTATGTGCCTACAAAACCCAGAAGCAGCAGACAAATTAAATAATGCAGCAGTTTAAATAAGCATCTCCTTTGTCTGAGCAAGGCATTTCACAGCTCTTTTCCATCCCCTATTCACAGTCAAGCTTCTCCCCACCTGATAAGTACTTTACTAAAAATAACTGGAAGACAGGCTAAAATGAAAAAAGGAGCATAGATAAAATGTGGCAACTTGCCCCAAAGGATTTCTTCTTGGACTCACACTCTCCAAGGCAGTGAATTTGCATTTAGGTAAAATACGAAGACTGGGAAGTCTAAAAAAAAAAAAAAAAGTGGGAGCAGGTTGGGAGGCTCACTTTCCTGTACCAAACATACTCAAGGTAGGTTCCACTAAGTTTTAATAAGACCATAGTTTTTTGGTTTTTTTTTTATACTTTAAGTTCTAGGGTACATGTGCACAATGTGCAGGTTTGTTACATATGTATACATGTGCCATGTTGGTGTACTGCACCCATTAACTCATCATTTACATTAGGTATATCTCCTAATGCTTTCCCTCCCCCCACCGTCCCCTCACCCCACGACAAGCCCTGGTGTGTGATGTTCCCCTTCCTGTGTCCAAGAGTTCTCATTGTTCAATTCCCACCTATGAGTGAGAACATGCGGTATTTGGTTTTTTGTCCTTGCGATAGTTTGCTGAGAATGGTGGTATCCAGCTTCATCCATGTCCCTACAAAGGACATGAACCCATCATTTTTTATGGCTGCATAGTATTCCATGATGTATATGTACCACATTTTCTTAATCCGGTCTATCATTGATGGACATTTGGGTTGGTTCCAAGTCTTTGGTATTGTGAATAGTGCCGCAATAAAC
Organism: Homo sapiens; assembly: GCF_000001405.40. NCBI lineage: Eukaryota > Metazoa > Chordata > Mammalia > Primates > Hominidae > Homo > Homo sapiens. Next base: position 58,151,151 of record NC_000001.11, read on the forward strand.
ATATGTGTGCATGTGTCTTTATAGCAGCATGATTTATAATCCTTTGGGTATATGCCCAGTAATGGGATGGCTGGGTCAAATGGTATTTCTAGTTCTAGATCCTTGAGGAATTGCCACACTGTCTTCCATAATGGTTGAACTAGTTTACAGTCCCACCAACAGTGTAAAAGTGTTCCTATTTCTCCACATCCTCTCCAGCATCTGTTGTTTCCTGACTTTTTAATGATTGCCATTCTAACTGGTGTGAGATGGTATCTCATTGTGGTTTTGATTTGCATTTCTCTGATGGCCAGTGATGAGAGCATTTTTTCATGTGTCTGTTGGCTGCATAAATGTCTTCTTTTGAGAAGTGGATAAGACCATAGTTTTTGTTAAGTATTCTTCTCTAAGTCAACCAAAAAGTACCAAATATCTTGAAAATTTGTAAACAAGAAAATGAAATTGCATAGAAGGCTATCTTAACAGTGGCTGCCCTGTGTCTGCATACCCTGGCCAGAACGCTGCCTTACAGGCTCATTCATTCTTTTGTGCATTCATTCAGCAAACGGTTCCTGAATGCATACTATGTGCAATGTACCTGCTAGATACTGAAGATAAAGAAGGAAATAATTTGCAGCCCCTTTCCCTGGAGAGTTAATTCCAGTAAGGAAGAAAGACAAGTAAATACACATTTTGATATAGCTGGATAAGTGGTAAAAGTCTATCCATTGGAAGAACGGTTGAAGCAAAGAAGAAAACAACCAACTCTGTGGGGAAGGAACTTCTTGAGCCAGGTTCTGAAGAACAAGTAGGTCTTTATCAGAGATTTAAGTAACAGAAGAATATCCCAGGCAGAGAGAACAAGATACGAAAAAGCACAGAAATCAGGAACAAGGTTGATTCCAGGGTGAAAATGAGTAAAAATATTAAAGGGTCTTGAGGTGGGGTGGCGAAAGAAGATCAGATACATCAGGCAAATATATGGTAAAATTAGTATTTTTTCGACTCACTTCCATGTTACTCAGTGATGTCCTGAAGAGGATACACACGGAAAGGGAAATTCTCATAAGCTCACACAGGGACATACTATACCCCCCATTCTACAAGCTGGAATTTCATTATCCCTGGATGCTTGTCCATGTATATGAAGGGCTGATTCTTGGGCAAGTATTTGCCTAATAAGATCCCTACTCCACTCTACCACTGCCTTATCAGAGAGAAGGTAAAGAGAAATGCCACAGTGAATCTGTATCCCAAAACAAAGCCATCGGAAGCAGTAAAGGAAGGGGTAAAGGGAAGTTTGAAGAATGACATTGCCCATTGGCACATCAGGCACAAGCCTTCCTCCTGGGCAGCTCCTCACCCTTCAAAGTACTACCTGTGCACCTTAGGAACATGCATGCAAATCTCTGCCTCTCAGTCTTCTCTGCAAAATGGGGAGAATGATGCCTGTCACACAAGGTTATCATTAGGATTACACGAGCTCTATCATGCTAATCCCTATTGCAACATCAGACATATACTATTTCCTTACTACACATTTAGTGCCAGTTTTCTTATCCTTAATTAAAGAGCCATTCACAGCAATGACCATGAAAGAAAATATTACCAGTTTTTTCTATTATTCTCAACCAATCATTCACAACATACGAGTAGTAAGTTCCAGTTTTAAAAGCACTTCAACATCTATTAGCCAATATAGTTATCTCAGTAACCTTCTGAGTTAGATAGAAAGAGTTATGTACAGGTGACGAAACAAGTGGCCGGTCCAAATCACACAGTTATTAAATGACAGAGAATGAACTTGAAACTTTATCCTTTGTCTTCAAAGCTCCAAATCTGGACCACATGACATTGCTTCTGAGTACTCTTCTAGAAAGAAAACAAAAAAATTGGCAGCCACTAGCAACCAAGCTCATCTTACTAAGTGCAATATTAGTGACAATTTCTTATAAAATGTGTGAAACTTCTTTTATGGCATGGCAAGTATCTTTGTCAAACCCTACCTGTCCATCTAGAGATTCGAAAGACAGAGACCATGTCTCATTCATGCCTTTACCCCCGAGTGCCTGATAATATTTCTGTCATACAGGACAACTTTAGCGTGTTTGCTGAATGACTGGATGGATTTTATAGGCACTTACTGATTTACAAAGTACTTCCACATCTTTCATCTTATTTGATTTTCCAAAAAGCCCTGGAACACAAAGGAAAGCTGATATCATTATCCACATTGCACAGATCATGATGAGCAGGTCATACCCAGGCTGCTGTTGTTTTCTTTCTTTTAAGAATTATAATGGATTCTTACTCCCTCCTGAAATAGATCCCAGCTGAATTCTACAAACTGCTGTTGGCCCTGCCACACAAGTCTGCTTGAAAGCTAATATAGACACTGTTTTATTATTGTCTTTCATATCTTATGAAATACATCAAAATGTGAAAAACTCTGTGATAATTAGACCAAAAAAAGCTGAAGCTGAACCATTCAACCTAGAGCTGTAATGTGGGGTGATTGTTACATTTCTATTCTTTCCTTTTCTCACCTCCTTTTGGTCTCCATTGTCTATAGGATGGAGTATTCATCTTCCTCCACAAAAAGAATCTGCTTCTTACAGAATAGAGTTGCCAGGACTGTGGGAGCCTTGTTCTCTGTGTTAACCCGTCCTGTCATGTTTGACAGCACACAGCTTCTCCTGAATGGCCTCCACCCAGTTTCTCATCTAGTGTGCTGAGGGCCTATCCCAAGAAGTGAAGCCTGGTAATAACACTCTCTTACACCAGGACTCCCCCCAAAACTACTGTACCTTGTGTTTATCCTTCTTCTTCAGGGTGTCCAAAATCTATATCCTATCTACCTTGGCAGCCTCATCTTTCAAATTTCCTATGTGCCCTGCCTTCTACCAGACTCAAATAGTCAGCGATTCCCTAAACAACTTATTTGTGTTTCCTCATGTTATCCCTGATCCATCACCAAGGATGAAGCCTTCATTTTAAAAAACGCTCCCTATCCTTCAAGGGCTTTCCTTTGAAACCTCCTTTGGTTACCTTCAGCAAGTCATTCAACACATATTCAGTAAGAAACTCCTTTGTACCCAAAAACCCCTATCTGGAGGAGCTTAATATCTATTGAGCAAAAAAGACTCGTTAGAAAAACCCAACACAATGGCTGTCATGGTGTTGGGTCAGCCACTGAAGGGAGTACAGTAGAGTCCATCCCGACCCTCACTGAGACTACAATCTAGGCAGAATGTGAGGAGCAGAAAAATGCACCACCAGATCACCAGGCTTGAAACAGACAGGAGTCCTGTGTCATGCAGTTCTTCATTCATTCATTCATTCATTCATTCATTCATTAGCAATGTGCTAGGAATACAGAAAGGAATGTGGTGTGGTTTCTGCTCTCAAGACTTTACAACCTGGCAGGAAAAACAGAGATATATATATACAGGGCTCTGCCACAGGTAAGAAGCACCTGTACCAAGTACCAGGAGACTAAAGGAGGGTGACTGGCTCTGCCTAGTAGAGTCCAGAATGCTCCAGAAAAGGGGAGTAATTGTCAGAGCTCTGAAAGAGAGTAGGAGTTTGCCAGGTAGAGAAGAAGAAAAGGGAATGGAAGGAGAGGAGAGAGAAGGAAAGCGTTGGTGGGGAAAAAGAACACTGTATCAGTCAGATGCCAGAGAAAATATCCCAGTTACTTTGGAATAGAGATTTCAATGGACAAAAGTGTTAAGGTATAAAATTATTAGCTAAGTAACTGAGAGATTAAAAGGAATTCTAAGGCATCATGAAAGTAGCAATTGCAAGAAGCAGCTACTACCCCTATAAGGAAAGGACAAGGGAAGAAACCTAGAGACTTAGAGGAGAAAACCCATTGGCAGGTGGTGGTGTTAAAATCAGATCTCCAAAAAAGGGCACTACTCAGCCAAGGGCTGGTGTCTCAGCTCAGAAGAGGGCCTCAGGGCCGGCCCAGACCTCTGAGGATGTCAGCTGGTACTAATGTTACCTAACTGAGGTGTGACAAAGCTGTCTGCAGGTGTTGGAAAAATGCAGCCTGGATTCAGCTGCTGCCAAGGGAAGGAATTGCAGCTGCCAAAGTGAAGAAGTATGTCTATACCTAGACTCTAGGTCAGTGGTTCTAAACCAGGGGTGATTTTGCCCTCCAGGGAACATCTGGCAATGTCTGAAGACAGTCTTAATTGTCACAATTAGGGGATTGGTACTACAATTTAGGACAGGGTGCTGCTGAACATCCTATAACACACGAGACCCCATCCCCCAACAAAGAATGACTCAGTCCAAAGTGCCAAAGTGGAGAAACCTATTCTAAGTTAACACTGTGAAAAACGGGAAGCAAACCAGGAGCAAGTCCTGCCTGGCCCCATCCAGCCTTGGAGTCTCCCTCTAGCACCCCCTATTGGCAGAGCCTAAGAGGGAGCCAGTGGACAAAACAGAAATAAAAATTTCATCACAAAGTTAAGAACAAAAGGATAGGGTTGTAGCTAAGTGCCAATAACTTAGTAACCGGCACAAACATTGCAGGTCCGGCTATCAGAGCAAGCAATGACATGACCGTAGATACAGGAATGGCATTTGAGAGAAAGACTCAGTAGCCAGGAGTGCGTGAAGCAATGCCTGGCACGTTGCAGGTGATGAGCAGAGAGTGAAATTTAGCAGGCACGTATTCAATAAATGACTTCATGATGAAAGATTTCCAAGCAATACTGCTTCCAAACTAACACTCCTGGTGGTATTTAAAATTCTTCAATTTGAGAATGAATACAATGCCTCCCAATAGTGAAATCTCTTCTGTTCATGAATGTGGCATTTTGCTTTCTGCCTGTCTGTTGTCTTATGAGGAAGAGAGTACTTTCTGAAGTCTGGTTTTCTGACTTTGTTAAAAGTGCAAGTCTTTTTGTTTCATAATTATTTTTTACACAAATGAGATCACAACACTATTTCACTCATCAACAGTGTTTTGGAGATTTTTGCATAATACTAACAAAGATTTATTTAGTGCTATTTATGCCTTACAATATACTTTCCCACTCTTATCTCACTTTATCTAGCACTTGCTTCTCCATTTTTGAATGAGAAAATTGAGGCTCAAATGAGATGAAGTGATTGGGTCCTAAGCAGTGCCTTAAGTGGAGAAGTGAAACCAGATGCCTCAGAGGTAGCAAAAAAAGTAGCTTCTCAGTTGCCTTGAGGTGGCTGACATTGCTGTGTATCTTAGCGCTTCCCAACCTGGGCATGTTTCAAGTGTAGCTAGTTTCTTATGGCATGCTAAGCCCTTAACTTTTTCCTCCTACACCCTCTATTTCCACTCACTTGTAGACTCAATGGAGCAATTCAGGGTGTTTTTTGTTCCACAAGGAACCACAGTCCAGTGAGAAAGACAGAAGAGTTAATGCACAATTTCAGTACAAAGTGCTAAGAACAGAGTGGACTCTGGGTGCATGGTATCATACAGACAGGGCAGGGTACCTAGTCCTGAGAGGTCAAGGAAGCTTTTTTGTGTAAGGCAAGATCTGAAAGACAGGGAAGAAGTAGGTGAAGGAGAAGGCAGGCTGCACAGAAGGGAACAACATGTGCAAAGTGCGGAGGAAAGGAAGAACACAATGTATCAAAGGTCCACAGGTTGATTGTGGAAGGAGTTTAGACTGAGAGGAAAATCATGCTGCACAAGGAGACTGAAGTGATAAGTAGGAATCAGAACAACAAGGGGTTGCAAGCTAAGAGAAGGAATTTCAACTTTATAATGGTACTAGCTAATTACAAGAGCACAGCCATTTATCTTCTTTGAGTTTCAGTCTCCACATGTGTAAAATGGTAGTAACAGCATCTGGTCTGCCTACCGAACGGGATCTGAGTTATTCAAATAAAACACACATACACAGAGTCACATGGTGATTTGCTTAGGAAGCTGTCACACATTATCACTAAAGCATCCCACGTCACCTGCAGAAAATAGAAGCAAAAGCCTTCCCTTTCCTCCCATTTCCCTCAACCCCTGTGAAGGAAAAAGCCCCCTCTGGAAAAGAAAGACTCTCCTTAGTCCTTTGCCAAAGCTTTTTCAAGCAATAATCCATAATGCAATCTTCATTGAAATTGTATTTCAGCCCCCCTCTGCTGAAAATATGAATACATGTGACTGTAGCCTCAGAATGGCCTTTGTGCCTTCCTGCCCCTGGTGTGTGCCTTCCTAAGCGGCTGCCCTCATTGTGGGCACCAGCCTGTGTGATAACATTATAATTTTGTGTACATTGTGCTCTCAGAGGCCATGCTGAGGCCAGCGTGAGGAAATGGTAATTGACAGCAGGCCCAGGCTTCTTTGTGAAGATCTGTGGCTTCCTCATCTGTGAGTTTACTGAGTTCCAGTCACTGGATTTGGGTGGCTGGTCCCAAGAGGCATGGGAACAGGCACCACGATGCCTTGTTTAAGTGCTTTGTAGAAAAGGAGACAGCTTGAAAATGAGGGTGTTCTAGGCATAGAGAATGACTTGTGGTGGAGGGCAGTGATCGATTCAGAGCTTAATTATCTGGACCAGGTAAACACTGAGTTGCTGGAATCCAGAACCAAATCTGACAGGGCCTTAGAAATCACCAGGGGAGATGATCTGTATCATCTTTTTAGTCCATGATCCTTCTACTTCATTGCAACTATTCTCTACCCAAATAATTTTTATACTGCTAATGAACAACTCTACAAACATTTGAGAATATTTATTAAATGCCTATTATGAGCTAACACTTATGGGCACTGGGAACACAGTGATGAACAAGGAACAAATTTATAGTACATGGGACTTAATGCACTGGGTAGGAATCAATTGCACAATTACTGCAAATGCTGATCTTTCCTGATTAAGGAAAGTTACTTAGGGAAAACAGCCCACAAGGGGTTAAATGAAAAGCTATATTCTGCCTGTCCTAGTGACTCTAATGCCAGTATTCAAAAAGGTTCACCCACCTTCCCTTTTTTCCTTTACTTATTCTCTTCATTTGCATGGAGAAAGGAAGACCAAAGCCTCTTACAAATTACCTTATGCACTGAGCCACAGACCCAAACAGAGCTCAGATTATCTATTTAATTCTCCAGCCTGCAAGGGGGCATTTACCCATTGTCTATGTCTTATCCAAATGTAATGGATTAGTTCAGAGCCCAGGGGGGAAAGGCATGAATACTGTGTTTAGAAGGAAAGCTATACAGAGCAGAGATAAATTCAAAGGATGATTTTACAAAAGAGAAAAGTTGGGGTGAGTTTTTGGGAAAACCCCTGTGAGCCTAGGTATCAGTCCTGGCTTGTTCAAAGCTAAAACTCTCGGTCCACATCCAGGATGGTCCCCCACCCTCTACCAAAGGCTGCTCTATCTCCAATCTCACACCCCAGACAAGGGGTCATCCATCACCAGGGGAAGAAGGTGAGACTCGAAGGTGGGAGTACAGCAAGTCAGACTACACACACTGGAGAGAAAAATCTACTGCAGCTCGCGTTTCCTTAGAAACCCCCACAAGCTGAGAATGGGAAAGTAGCCACACAGTCAGACAGAGGTCTGTCTGATTCCTTCATCAAAGATCATACCCCGGAAGGAGGAGGAAGACATCGTTAAGCAGCTTAATCTTTCAGGCAAGGCCTGGAGAAAGCAGCCTCCTGCAGAGCCAGAAAGATGCAGGTCTGGATCCCAAAGCAAATGCAGGCACAGGCAAGGCAAGGAGAGTCGAATCTACACACATACACATGCACACAAGCACGCACGGGTGAGAAACCCTAATGATTAAGCAGGGGAGAGGAAATATTCTGATAGAATATTCAAATGAAAGGCGAGTTCCCATAGAGACCCCTTTGTGAATAACCACACAATAATCACATGACCTTCAAAATAGAACTGGAGACAAATCTGATTTCGTCTAATTCTGAAAGCATGTCAAGCTCTTGCCCTTGCTAGTGAGCTCAAGCTCTGGAACCCAAACTGAACAAGAATTCTGTCTTCAACATTTAATAGCTCTGTGACTTGAGGCAAATTACTTAACTTCTCTGAGCCTTATTTATGAAAGGAAAAGTCCCTACCTTAGTGTTAAGAATTAAGTGAGATAATACATGTACAGCATGTAGGACAGTGTCTGGCTCCCTCTAAAGACTCATTCAAGTCAACAGATAAGAAGGAACTGCAATCCAGGTTCAACATAGAATGAATCCCATCGAGTTTATCCATTTCCACAGACTGAAAGAAGCTAGAGGCAAAAAGAACATACTATGTTATTCCTATATATGAGGCCCAAGAACAGGCAAAACAAATTGATGGTCAGAATTGTGGATGTCTCTGGAAGTACAAACTGAGAGGGACATGAGTGAAATTGCTTGGGTGCTGGAGCTATTCTATATGTTGATATGGTGGTTATATGAGTGCATGCATATGTAAAATCTCTCCACGCTGTACACTCAACATTACTGCAATGTAACAGAGCCTATGGATCATCAGTCTTCTCATTGGTCATCACCATCTGTGACAGCAGCTGCAGGAAGTGAGAACTGGGTTGCACCCAAGGTACGTGGCGGCTGATGCTTTCTGCAAGACATTATATGTAAAGGTTGATTATTAGAACCCTGATTCTTTCCAGCAAGACACAGGTTAACTCACTGTGAGTTTAGCAGAAAAGGCATGCATATCCCCATTGCTCAGCTGAGGACACTAAGATTCAGGGTACCAAGGTCAGTTGTCCATGAACACAGCTGGTGAAGTTAGAGTTAAGGAGAGAAGGCAAGTCTCCATGCTCCACTATATTTCAATCTGTTTAGAGAATTCCCTTCTATCTACTAGAGACAAATTCCCTAGTCCTGAAGGAGGAAATAAAAGAAGATACCTTTTTTTTTTCTTAAAGAGTTCTTCCAAAGAGAAAAAGGCATTTCAAATACAAATGAACAAAAGTAAGCTATATTGCCACCTGCAGCCTCTGTGAGACCTAATGGCAGGTAGGAACAAGAGGGTCTGTGGTTTGAGGTAGAATCAGGGTCACTGTTCCCACTACCCTAGGCAGGTGCAGTTGCAGGTAGGCCAGGGGGTAAGGAGGGGTGGTAAGAGCTGTCACCCAGTCTGTCTGTCTCTGAATGGCTCTGGGAACTTCTCCTGGAGGGGAACGGTCTCAGTTCTATCAGAGAGTTTCAGCAGGTTTAAGAGCAGAGCAGAGTAGTTCCCTGTTACCGCAGGCTGCTCTGGATAAGGAAACAAACATTTTGGGGCCTCCTATCATGTACCTGGCATAGTTAGAGGAGCTGAGGATAGAGTAATGCCACTCAAGAAAAGCAAATCCTGTACAGAGGGCAATTAGGGAAAGCCTCTTCATGAAACTGATATTCAAAAGGCAACCTTTCATAGCATGAACTTGGGCTGAGTTGCAATTCCTATGGGGAACAGCCAGATACACACGGGCTGGGCCTCACCAGAACAAGTTTCCCTCCAACGATCTCAAACTACATCACTGAAAATCAGTCATGCTCTTACAATCCAAGTACAGCATTTGCTCTTAAATTCAAACCAATAGGCTACAAAAAAAAGTTGTATCACTTTGTTATAACATGGGTCCTACAGGCTTTAAATAATTTTGGGTACAATTTTGGGTACAGTTACCAGACTCAAGGAAAAAGCCTCTTTACAATAAAGCATGTGTTTGGAATACTGGGCCCCAAGACTCCTACCAATACCAATCCAGTGCTTCTTCTGCTATGTCACTAATATATGTTGAAGAATGGGAAGCAAATTAACAAGGCAGCTCCTGCCTTGAAAAAAATGCAGTCTAGTAGGTGGGCTAGTCACATGCACAACTAACCACAGTAGAAGGTAGGAAGTGCTGTAGTTGTACTGTATTACAGTTCTAAGCTGATGCAACGTAAGGAATACATAAGGGTCCATTGCCCATCTAGAAAAGATGTTATAACCTAGGCAGGAAGATGGGACACAAGTAGAAACGACTCTCACCAGCAAAGGTAGAACCACAACACACAAGGAGTCTCAAAGAATGGAGTCTTCCCCTTTGTTCATTTATTTAATAACATTTACTGAATGCCAGGTATTTAATTGGCACTGTGATAAACAAGTCAAGATCCTTGCCTTAGAGAGCGCAAGTTCAATTGAGAGTAAAGCCTTATAAACAGACATTCCCAATGCATATTCATGAACACATGCATACAGTAGCCTGGGAAGTGGAATAAAACGATTTTTATTTCTAGGACTTGGGAATGCCTTAAGATGAAGAAGAAAAGAGCTTGGGCTTTGCATTTTAGGCAACAGGAACAGGATTATTTGGAATCACAAAGGTTTGGAAGAACAAAGTGTTTTACAAAACTATATTGCAGCTGAAGCACTGGGTAAGTAATTGAGAGTAGTCGAAGACAGGCAATAACATGAGGTAACATTTAATCAGTACTTACTGAGTGCCAAATACTGTTCTGTGATTAAACATATATGTATATGTATATATTTAAAAGATATAGATACATGTTTTAAAGACATATATGTATATATATAATTTCTCAGTAATCATACAAGTAAATACTGTCATCATGCCCATTTCACAGAAAAGAAAACTGAGGTTCACTAACTTGTTCAAGGCCATTCAGTTAGTAAGTAGTAAAACTTGGCTATGAACTCCAGAATTCATTCCTTAACTACTGCATTGTCACCAAGAGCCTGGTTCAAGACTATTGACTTTATTACTTCTCGATGGAGACCCATTTAAGGCTTTTAAGCTAGGGAATGACATAGTCAGATTTACATTTTAGAAAGATTAGGCTGGCTGCAATATAAAGAATGGGATTTGAGGGGTACAAAAGCAACAACATGATAACCAATTAGGAGGCTTTGCAATGGTCCAGGGAAGAGAAGGGAGGAGGTAACAATAGGTACAGAGGGGCTGAGACAGGTTATTTAGGGGGAAGAGGTAACAATGTTCGGTGATAGATAGGATGTAGGGCATGAAAGAGAGGGAGGTATAAAGGATGATTCTTCAAAGTGCAGAATCAGCCTTGACAGGCAGATCTTGCCCTTAAAGTAACGGGAAAAGAGGATATTCTTATCATGCCAAAGGACAGTGCTATACGAGACTGACAACGATCCTGTCAAACCTCTGCACCCAGGTATATGAATTCAGAAGGCTGATCCAAATAATAGCTATTCTTAAGTCTCTGTCAGCCCACAGCAACCTTGTTTTCTTTTTTTTCTCTATTCTTTTTTTCCTTCTGTTACTCATTTCCTCCCCACCTTCCTTTCTGCCTTTCTTTTTCTTTTAAATAAGTATAATTACATCAGTTTTCATTGTAAAATAACCTGTGCACATACAGAAAATTCAAGCAATTCAGAAAAACGCAAAGAGACTAGAAGTTTCCTAAAATCCCACCTCCTTGAACACCTTAGCGAAGGTCTTTCCAGGCATTCATAATTGCACAGCATACACAAACACATTCACAAACACTCACACTGAAACTCTACTTTTTTATTTTGGAAACCTGTTTTATTTTTCAATTATTCTGTTACAGAAATCTTTTAAAGTCAATGAATATGGATGTAAGTCATCTTATTTAGTGGCTAGGTGGTATACATTGTATGTATACATTATAATAAGGAATATGTGTACATTGCCTGTATACATTATAGTCTATTACAAAAATGGATTCAGCTGCTGCCAAGGGAAGGAATTGCAGCTGCCAAAGTGAAGAAGTATGTCTATACCTAGACTCTAGGTCAGTGGTTCTAAACCAGGGGCGATTTTGCCCTCCAGGGAACATTTGGCAATGTCTGAAGACAGTCTTAATTGTCACAACTGAGGGATTGGTACTACAATTTAGTAGGTAGAGGACAGGGTGCTGCTAAACATCCTACAACACACGAGACACCATCCCCCAAGAAAGAATGACTCAGTCCAAAATGCCAAAGTGGAGAAACCTATTCTAAGTTAGCCCTGCGAAAACCGGGAAGCAAACCAGGAGCAAGTCCTGCCTGGCCCTATCCAGTCATGGAGTCTCCCTCTAGCACCCTCTACTGGCAGAGCCTAAGAGGGAGCCAGTGGACAAAGATAAAAATTTCATCACGAAGTTAAGAACAAAAGGATAGCGTTGTAACTAAGTGCCAATAACTTAGTAACTGGCACAAACATTGCAGGTCCGGTTCTCAGAGCAAGCAATGACATGACGGTAGATATGGGAATGACATTTGAGAGAAAGACTCAGTAGCCAGGAGTGCGTGAAGCAAAGCAAAACCTATTACAAGTTCCAGGAATAGCCAAGTGAAGAGATAGACAAATCCTCTCTCTCCACAACATCTATAAAGCTGGACAAAATTAGCAAAATCAACCATCCCAGAGTTGGAAGTTGAACAACAGCATATAACGACCTGAGAAACATTTATGTTTGAAAATCTGCTGAACTTTGGGTCAGAACAGGGGGAATCTGGTGCCTGCTTGCCTGGGACTGAACTCCTTCCCAATCCATATGGAAGCTCGAAGAGGGCAGGATGAGCCTAAAGACCACAACTTTTCTGCCAGGTAAATGTGGACTCACCAGGCTCAAAAAGGTGGGAGATGCCCATGCTCAAGTGTATTTTCAGCAGAAGTGATGACCCAAGGCAGCCAGCAGTGAGGGTCAATAACTCCACTGGTCTGACAGAGACGTATTCCTGCCTGAGGCTGCTCATCTGGCATAAGCTGTTCACACACTCCTGGCTGATCTTGAGGCTGAGAACATGCACATAGCTCACAAGAAAAAGCACAGTGTAAATTCAAAGCCAGAACAGCTTTGAAAAATACCCAAACTTTTAATATGCTTTTCTACCCACACATAGTTCCAAGAAAGTCTTACTAGCTTGAAGTATTTGAACACAACCTCTGTCCACTCTGACTGCTGAGCTATGCAAACACGTGGCAACCCTTAGGCTTAAAAATAAAAACATGAGTGAAAAAAGCAAAACTAAGTGGAGACATCATCAGCCATGCACTGTGTGGGGAGGGTAATGAATTTCACAGATTTAGCCCATGAAAGCTACTAAACAACTCAAGAGAGCTCAGCTTAAAAAAAAAAAAAAAAAAAAAGATGAGTGATCAAAGGTCAGAAGAGCTCCTTTTCTAAATTCCAAATCTCATATTCACTTTTAAGGCTTTACATCACATCTCCAAGCAATAGTGGATACAGATAACTTTATTTCCACTTAAGTTCTCTATTTTGCAAAGTTGGCTTGGGAGATACTGAAATCAGTGGTGAGTATGTGTCAGCAAAGAACATATCAAAATAGCTGATGGTATTTCTTCAAAAACATCTCTCTGATCTGAAGTATAGATGAGCACATCCACTCAGAACAGGCATTTAATGCAAAGGCTTTTCCAGTCGGCTCTGATTTTTCAAAGCCCTTCTGAGTTTTATAGCTTATAATAGCATCCTTTTTTAAAAAATGAAATCTGAACAATTATTAAAATGTAGCATGCCAATGAAGGAAAAATTGATGTGATTCTCATGCACACATGATAACACATTACGAAATGCTACCAGTGAGATGAGTGTTGGGACAACCAGGATGTGGCTGCAGCCTTAGGCCTGGACACTACCTCCAGTTCTCTAACACAATAGAATAAAACAAAAAGGAAGAGTCCTCAATAATAAGCTATCCCACCCTTTATTAAATGCAAGAATCCCCTCCACTATATCCTCATGAGCTCCTTTCAGCATCTGCTTAACATATATAATGAATACAGAAGATTACTTTAGAATAGGGGTTAGGTCTGGGGTTATATCTATTTGGTAGATGTATTTCATTTGGCTAACATTTAAAAAAATGTTAGCAATATTTTAAAATTAGGAAATGTCACACAAAAACTTGATTTTCTAACTTTTAAAGGAAGCATAGTTCTGGCCACTCTAGGCCCCATTTCCACATGGAAACAAAATGAGACTGATTAACAAATGCTCCTTTTGAAAGGGGCCCGGACCCCCTAGCTCACCAAGGTCCTGACCACTGCCTAATGCCCATAGGACCACATTAATCGCCACATTCACACTGTTGCTTTTTCTTGAAGTAAAGACAGACAGATGTGTCCCAGAACTCTCTCCACTGAGGGGAAGTGAAAGGCAGACTGAACCTGCTCTGGTTTTCTACATCAAGATTACTCACCAAGTGCCTGGCCCGGAGGGATGTGAGAGTGTGACCCCACTGTGTGAGGAACCCTCAAGGACCTCCTTCCCATTAGTCACCTCTCTCCATCTGTTTGCCATATAATTCCTGCAAACCTCCCCGATTCTCTGTACATCCTTTTATCAGTCTGCAAAAGGAGGCTCTCTTCTCGGTCCTCGCTCCCTCTACCTGACAGGAATGCCTTAGAAGCCACTTGATAACATCTGCAAAAGGGCGGCGAGCTTCCCATATGTAAGTAGATACAACAGAGCATGCATGTTACCATGTTGAGTGTTATTAAAGTTGCTTATCTACCTCCAAGTGACACTCTCATATAAGTGGCTAGCAACTCATGTTCAGATAATGCTAAGCAGTATTCCAAGCCTAGACCACAGGATAGACCTATAAACCAACTAAAATTTTGTAGAGAAAATCCCAGAGTGGGCAGAGGTTTTGGGGATCAGTGAAGAATAAGAGGAAAGAGAACTCTGTTTTAACCACTGTTGTAAAGATAAGAAATGGGCAGACAGGAGGTCCTGGATCTGGAAGACTATGTTGCTGTCATTGATTGTGGGCTTACTGTATGCTACACATCTTATGTGTGTGGCCTCATTTAATTCTTTGTAAAACTCCATGAGATAGCTGTTGTTGTTTTCAGTTCACCATGAAGAGCCTGAGCCTTAGAGAGACTAAGTAATGTTTTTAAGGACACATGGTTAGTAAGTAAGTGGAAAGACCAGGGTTCAGCTTCAGGGCCTGGATTCTTAATTGCTATGCAATTTTGCCTCTCTGTACTTAAAGAGGAAGAGAAGAAGTCACATTTATTAATCAATGACTATACATCAAGCTAGATATGATTTTGTATTTTTAAAGCTCTATTGAGATATAATCTACACACTGTAAAATTTACTGGTTTTAAGTGTACAATTCCAAGATTTTCAGTAAATTTACATAACCGTGCAACTATCACTGCAATCTAGTTTTAGAACATTATCGCCACCCCAAAAAGATGCCTGTGTCTGTTTGTAGTCAATCCCTGTTCCCACGCTAAGCTCCAGGCAACCACTAATCTACCTTCTGTCTCTATAGACTTGTTTTCCCAGATATTTGTTACAAATAGAATTGTATGTGATGTTTTGCATCTGGCTTACTTATTTAGCATAATATTTTTGAGGTTCATCAACATTTCAGTATTATTAGTATTTCATTACATTTTATTCCACTGCCTGGGTATACTATATTTGTATATCCTTTCACCACTACGTGAACATTTGAAGTGTTTCCACTTCCTTGGATACTATCAATAATGCTGCCACGTGCATTCCCAAACAAGTCTTTCAGGGACACATGTTTTCCTATATGTTTTCATATAGGCAAATCATGTTTTCATGATATCTGTGAGTAGAGTTGCTGGGTTATATGGTAAACTCATGTTTAACATTTTTTGTTGTTGTTTTTGTTTGTTCGTTTTTTTTTTTTTTTAATTTGAGACAGGGTCTTGCTCTGTCACCCAGGCTGGAGTGTAGTGACATCATCACTGCAACCTCCGCCCCCCAGGTTCAAGTGATTCTCATGCCTCAGCCTCGAGAGTAGCTGGAATTACAGTTGTGCACCACCATGGGCTGGCTAATTTTTGTGCTTTTAGTAGAGATGGGGTTTCACCATGTTGACCAGGCTGGTCTCGAACTTCTGGCCTCAAGAAATCCACGCACCTTGGCCTCCTAAAAGTGCTAGGAATATAGGTATGAGCCATTGCACTCAGCCAACTATTAAAAAAAAAAAAAGCTGCCAAATTGCTGCCATAATGGCTGTATCATTTTACATTTTCACTAGCATTATATGAAACAATGTGTATTTCAGTTTCTGTATATCCTAATGAGAGGTGAAGCCAGCTGGGCTTCTGGGTCAGGTGGGGACTTGGAAAACTTTTGTGTCTAGCTAAAGGATTGTAAATGCACCAATCAGCACTCTGTAAAAATGCACCAATCAGTGCTCTTTGTCTAGCTAAAGGATTGTAAATGCACCAATCAGCACTCTGTGTCTAGCTAAAGGATTGTAAATGCACCAATCAGCACTCTGTAAAAATGCACCAATCAGTGTTCTGTGTCTAGCTAAAGGATTGTAAATGCACCAATCAGCACTCTGTAAAAACGCACCAATCAGCACTCTGTGTCTAGCTAAAGGATTGTAAATGCACCAATCAGCACTCTGTAAAATGGATCAATCAGCAGGATGTGGGCAGGGTCAAATAAGGGAATAAAAGCTGGCCACCCAAGCCAGCAGTGGCAACCTGCTTGGGTCCCCTTCCACGCTATGGAAGCTTTGTTCTTTCACTCTTCACAACAAATCTTGCTGCTGCTCACTCTTTGGGTCCGCATTACTTTTATGAGCTGTAACACTCACCACGAGGGTCTGCGGCTTCATTCCTGAAGTCAGTGAAACCACGAACCCACCAGGAGGAATAAACAACTCCGGACGCACCACCTTTAAGAGTTGTAACACTCACGGCAAAGGTCTGTGGCTTCACTCCTGAAGTCAACAAGACCATGAACCCGCCAGAAGGAAGAAACTCCAGACACATCTGAACATCTGAAGGAACAAACTCTGGACACACCAACTTTAAGAACTGTAACACTCACTGTGAGGGTCCACAGCTTCATTCTTGAAGTCAGCGAGACAAAGAACCCACTGGAAGGAACCAATTCTGGACACATTTTGGCAACCCAGATGGGACTATCGACTATCGCCAAGTGGTGAGAACCACTGGACCCCTTTCACTTGCTATTCTGTCCTATTTTTCCTTAGAATTCAGGGGCTAAATACCGGGCACCTGTCAGCCAGTTAAAAGAGACTAGCACAGCTGCCAGATTAAAGACATGGGTAACAGGCTTTCTGGGAAAGAGCTCTCTAACAATCCCCAGCTCTTCAGAGTTGGGAGCGCTGGTTTGCCTGGAAGCAGCTTCCGCTTTTCCTTTACTTCTGGGCTGAGCCAAGGGTCGACAGAGAGGAAAGCCATTCAGCTCTGGGGTCCCAACAACAAGCTGGTTGACCCTGTGGCCATGAGCGGAACTCTCAAAGTCATGTCACCCAAGCGAAACTTGCCCGTCTATGCTATCTATCCTGACACTTGCCTCCTGGGTCCTAATGCCTGTCAGACAAACTTCCTCTCGTCTCTCTTCTCTGAGGCTAGTCCCACTTCTAAAAACCACTCCCTGTCTCTGGTGCTTTTCTAGTTTCTCCTATGATTTCTAGTATAAACTCCAGGACTCTATTCCCTTCTTTAGGTACACGGGCTCACCAAGCAGAAAGACATAATTTTTGCCCAAAGCCCCATCATAGGGGAGACTACCTGGAATTTTAGGATCCCTCCTCAGAGAAGTAGGCCTAACAAAAGCTATTCCTGAAGCTAGGATATGGGGAGCTTCAGAAATGACATCCTTCCTATTCAAGTGAGGACAAAAGGTGTCACTCTTCCTACCCTGGAGATCCCTTCTCTCCCTCAGGGTATGGACCTCCACTTCATTTTTGGGGCATAACATCTTTATAGGACATGGGTAAAGTCCCAATACTAACATGACAATGCTTAGGACTCTAACAGGTTTTCAAGAATGCATCAATAAGGGCCACTAAATCCGATTTTTCTCGGTCCTCTTTGTGGTCTAGGAGGACAGGCAAGGTTGCAGGTTTTCGAGAATGCATTGGTAAGGGCCACTAAATCTGACATTCCTTGGTCCTCCTTGCAGTCTAGGAGGAAAACTAGTGTTTCTGCTGCTACGTTGATGAGTGCAACTATTCTGATCAGCAGGGTCCAGCAACTGCTGCAGGTTCTTGGGCCAGAGGTGTTTCTGCTGCTGTGTCAGTGAGCACAACTATTCCAATCAGCAGGGTCCAGGGACCGTTGCAGGTTCTTGGGCAAGAGGCATTTCTGCTGCTGCATCAGTGAGCACAACTATTCTGATCAGCAGGGTCCAGGGACCATTGTGGGTTCTTGGGTAAGAGGTGTTTCTGCTGCTGTGTTGATGAGCACAACTATTCCGATCAGCAGGGTCCAGGGACCATTGTGGGTTCTTGGGCAGGGGGAGAAACAAACAAACCAAAACCACGTGTGGTTTTGTCTTTCAAATGGGAAACATTCAGGCATCAACAGGCTCACCCTTAAAATGCATCCTAAGCCATTGGGAACAATTTGACCTGCAAACTCTGAAAGAGAGGCACCTCATTATTCTCTCTCTGATGGGGAAAAAAAGCCATCTGAGGGAAGTATAAATTACAATATTATTCTGCAGCTTGACCTTTTCTGTAAGAGGGAAGGCAAATGCAGTGAAATACCTTATGTCCAAGCTTTCTTTTCATTGAAGGAGAATACACAACTATGCAAAGCTTGCAATTTACACCCCACAGGAGGACCTCTCAGCTTACCCCCATATCCTAGCCTCCCTATAGCTCCCATTTCTATTGATGATAAGCCACTTCTAATCTTCCCCACCTGGAAGGAAACAAGCAAAGAAATCTCCAAAGGACCACAAAAACCCCCAGGCTATCGGTTATGTCCCCTTCAAGCTGTAGGGGGAAGGGGATTTGGCCCGACCCAGGTACATGTCCCCTTCTCCCTCTCTGATTTGAAGCAGATCAAGGCAGACTTGGGGAAGTTTTCAGATGATCCTGATAGGTACATAGATGTCCTACAGGGTCTAGGGCAAATCTTCCATCTCACTTGGAGAGATGTCATGCTATTATTAGATCAAACCCCGGCATTTAATGAAAAGAATGCAGCTTTAGCTGCAGCCCGAGAGTTTGGAGATACCTGGTATCTTAGTCAAGTAAATGATAGAATCACAGCCAAAGAAAGGGACAAATTCCCTACTGGTCAGCAAGCCATCCCCAGTATGGATCCCCACTGGGACCTCGACTCAGATCATGGGGACTGGAGTTGTAAACATCTGTGGACCTGTGTTCTAGAAGGACTAAGGAGAATTAGGAAAAAGCCCAAGAATTATTCAATGATGTCCACCATAACTCAGGGAAAGGAAGAAAATCCTTCTGCCTTCCTCGAGCAGCTATGGGAGGCCTTAAGAAAATAGACTCCCCTGTCACCCAACTCACTAGAGGGTCAATTGATCCTAAAAGATAAGTTTATTACCCAATCAGCCGCAGATATCAGAAGAAAGCTCCAAAGGCGAGCCCTGGGCCCTGAACAAAATCTGGAGGCATTATTAAACCTGGCAACGTTGGTTTTATAATAGGGACCAAGAGGAACAGGCACAAAAGGAAAAGCAAGATCAGAGAAAGACCCCAGCCTTTGTCATGGCCCTCAGACAAACAAACCTTGGTGGTTCAGAGAGGACAGTAAATGGAGCAGGCCAATCACAAGGTGGGGCTTGTTACCAGTGTGGTTTTCAAGGACACCTTAAAAAAGATTGTCCAACGAGAAACAATCTGCCCCCTCGTCCATGTCTGCTATGCCGAGGCAATCACTGGAAGGCACACTGCCCCAGAGAGCACAGTGTCTCTGGGCCAGAAGCCCCCAACCAGATGATCCAACAACAGGACTGAGGATGCCCGGGGCAAGTGCCAGCTCATGTCATCACCCTCACTGAGCCCCGGATATGTTTAACCATTGAGGGCCAGGAAATTGACTTCCTCCTGGACACTGGTGCAGCCTTCTCAGTGTTAATCTCCTGCCCCAGACGACTGTCCTCAAGGTCCGTTACCATCCGAGGAATCCTGGGACAGCCTCTAACTTTCTCCCACCTCCTCGGTTGTAATTGGGAGACTTTGCTCTTTTCACATGCCTTTCTTGTTATGCCTGAAAGTCCCACACCCTTATTAGGAAGGGATATATCAGCCAAAGCTGGAGCTATTATCTACATGAATATGGGGAACAAGTTACCCATTTGTTGTCCCCTACTTGAGGAGGGAATCAACCCTGAAGTCTGGGCATTGGAAGGACAATTTGGAAGGGTAAAAAATGCCCGCCCAGTCCAAATCAGGCTTAAAGACCTCACCACTTTTCTTTATCAAAGGCAATATCCCTTAAGGCCTGAAGCTCATAAAGGATTACAGGATATTGTTAAACATTTAAAAGCTCAAGGCTTAGTAAGGAAATGCAGCAGTCCCTGCAACACTCCAATTCTGGGAGTACAAAAGCTGAATGGTCAGTGGAGGCTAGTGCAAGATCTTAGACTCATCAATGAGGCAGTAATTCCTCCATATCCAGTTGTACTCAACCCCTATACCCTGCTCTCTCAAATACCAGAGGAAGCAGAATAGTTCACTGTTCTGGACCTCAAGGATGCCTTATTCTGTATTCCCCTGCACTCTGACTCCCAGTTTCTCTTTGCCTTTGAAGATCCCACAGACCACACATCCCAACTTACATGGATGGTCTTGTCCCAAGGGTTTAGGGATAGCCCTCATCTGTTTGGCCAGGCACTGGCCCAAGATCTAGGCCACTTCTTAAGTCCAGACACTCTGGTCCTTCAGTATGTGGATGATTTACTTTTGGCTGCCAATTTGGAAGCCTCATGCCAGCATGCTACTCTAGATATCTTGAACTTTCTAGCTAATCAAGGGTACAAGGCATCTAGGTTGAAGGCCCAGCTTTGCCTACAGCAGGTCAAATATTTAGGCCTAATCTTAGCCAAAGGGACCAGGGCCCTCAGCAAGGAACGAGTACAGCCTGTTCTGGCTTATCCTCACCCTAAGACATTAAAACAGGTGCAGGGGTTCCTTGGAATCACTGGCTTTTGCCAACTATGGATCCCCGGATACAGCGAGATAGCCAGGCCCCTTTATACTCTAATCAAGGAGAACCAGAGGGCAAATACTCATCTAGTAGAATGGGAACCAGAGGCAGAAACAGCCTTCAAAACCTTAAAGCAGGCCCTAGTACAACCTCCAGCTTTAAGCCTTCCCAAAGGACAAAACTCCTCTTTATATGTCAGGGAGAGCAGGGATAGCTCTTGGAGTCCTTACTCAGACTTGTGGAACAATCCCACAACCAGTGGCATACCTAAGTAAGGAAATTGATGTAGTAGCAAAATGCTGGCCTTACTGTTTACGGGTAGTTGTGGTGGTGGCCGTCTTAGCATCAGAGGCTATCAAAATAATACAAGGAAAGGATCTCACTGGACTACTCATGATGTAAATGGCATACTAGGTGTCAAAGGAAGTTTATGGCTATCAGACAACTGCCTACTTAGATACTAGGTGCTACTCCTTGAGGGACCAGTGCTTCAAATACGTATGTGTGTAGCCCTCAACTCTGCCACTTTTCTCCCAGAGGATGGGGAACCAATTGAGCATGACTGCCAACAAATTATAGTACAGACTTATGCCGCCCGAGATGATCTCTTAGAAGTCCCCTTAGCTAATCCTGACCTTAACCTATATACCTATGGAAGTTCATTTGTGGAGAATGGGATACGAAGGGCAGGTTATGCCATAGTTAGTGATGTAACTGTAGTTGAAAGTAAGCCTCTTCCCCCAGGGACCAGTGCCCAGTTAGCAGAACTAGTGGCAGTTGCCCGAGCCTTAGAACTGGGAAAAGGAAGAAGAATAAATGTATATACAGATAGCAAGTATGCTTATCTAATCCTACATGCCCATGCTGCAATATGGAAAGAAAGGGAGTTCCTAACCTCTGGGGGAACCCCCATTAAATACCACAAGGAAATTATGGAGTTATTGCACTCAGTGCAAAAACCCAAGGAGGTGGCAGTCTTACACTGCCAAGCCATCAGAAAGGTGAAGGAGAAAAGGCAGAAGGAAACCACTGGGCAGATGCTGAGGCCAAAACCGCTGCCAGGCAGAACCTCCCATTAGAAATACCTACAGAAGGATGCTTGGTATGGAACAACCCTCTCCAAGATATTAAGCCCCAGTATTCCCCAACTGAAACAGAATGGGGATTTTCACAGGGGTATAGTTTTCTCCCCTTGGGGTGGTTCATGACAGAAGAAGGAAAGGTACTTATACCTGAAGCCAGCCAGTGGAATTACACTCTACCACTTCAAACCCCAACTGATCATAGTAACTGCTGAGTTACCCAAACAGCTCCATTCAGATGGCTTGTCCGCTTCTCAGGGCCTCCAAAAATCATCATCTCTTCCCTGCTTAACAAACAGTCCAGGTTTTGTAATGGCAAACACACTCCCTGCATGACCATTCACCCCGAACCCCCTGCAGCAGCGACCCCACCACTAGTGAATGCCTTCTCATCCCCTCTTTTAATCACTCTCTTGAATGGTTCCTAGTAGATACAAAATGGTTTTTTCTCCAATGGGAAAATAGAACACAGGGAGCCACTCAGTTTGCTCCCAAAACCCCTTTCCAGCCACACACCGGAGCTACCTTGGCAAGTACTCTAGGAGTATGGGAAAGTGAAAACAACAAACTCACACACCTTTTTAACATACACAACCAGTTCTGTCTATGCAGCCGAAGTATATTCTTCTTATGTGGAACGTCAACCTGTATCTGCCTCCCTACTAACTGGAAAGGCACCTGCACCTTAGTCTTTCTAAGTCCCAACATTAACATTGCCCCAGGAAATCAGACCCTATCAGTACCCCTCAAAGCTCAAGCCCATCAGTGCAGAGCCATACAATGAATACTCCTACTTGTAGGGTTAGGAATGGCTACTGCTACAGGAACCAGAATAGCCAGTTTATCTACTTCATTATCCTACTACCACACACTCTCAAAGGATTTCTCAGACAGTTTGCAAGAAATAACAAAACCTATCCTGACTCTACAGTCCCAAATAGACTCTTTGGCAGCAGTGACTCTCCAAAACTGCCAAGGCCTAGACCTCCTCACTGCTGAGAAAGGAGGACTCTGCACCTTCTTAGGGGAAGAGTGTTGTTTTTACACTAACCAGTTGGGGATAGTATGAAATGTCACCTGGCATTTACAGGAAAAGGCTTCTGAAATCAGACAACACCTTTCAAACTCTTATACCAACCTCTGGAGTTGGGCAACATGGTTTCTCCCCTTTCTAGGTCCTGTGACAGCCATCTTGCTATTACTCACCTTTGGGCCCTGTATTTTTAACCTCCTTGCCAAATTTGTTTCCTCTAGGATCAAGGCCATCAAGCTACAATGGTCTTACAAATGGAACCCCAAATGAGCTCAAATAACAACTTCTACCAAGGACCCCTGGACCGACCTGCTGGCCCTCTGACTGACCTAAAGAGTTCCCCTCTGGAGGACAGTACAACTGCAGGGCCCCTTCTTCACCCCATCCAGCAGGAAGTAGCTAGAGCAGTCATCACCCAATTCCAACAGCAGTTGGGGTGTCCTGTTTAGAGGGGGGATTGAGAGGTGAAGCCAGCTGGGCTTCTGGGTCGGGTGGGGACTTGGAGAACTTTTGTGTCTAGCTAAAAGATTGTAAATGCACCAATCAGCGCTCTGTGTCTAGCTAGAGGATTGTAATGTACCAATCAGTGCTCTGTGTCTAGCTAAAGGATTGTAAATGCACCAATCAGCACTCTGCAAAAATGCACCTATCAGCACTCTGTGTCTAGCTAAAGGATTGTAAATGCACCAATCAGCGCTCTGTAAAAATGCACCAATCAGTGCTCTGTGTCTAGCTAAAGGATTGTAAATGCACCAATCAGCACTCTGTACAAATGCACCAATCAGCACTCTGTGTCTAGCTAAAGGACTGTAAACGCACCAATCAGCACTCTGTAAAATGGACCAATCAGCAGGATGTGAGTGGGGCCAAATAAGGGAATAAAAGCTGGCCACCTGAGCCAGCAACAGCAACCTGCTCGGGTCCCCCTCCATTCTGCGGAAGCTTTGTTCTTTCACTCTTCACAATAAATCTTGCTGCTGCTCACTCTTTGGGTCCGCATTACCTTTATGAGCTGTAACACTCACCACGAGGGTCTGCAGCTTCATTCCTGAAGTCAGTGAGACCACAAACCCACAAGGAGGAATAAACAACTCCGGATGCACCACCTTTAAGAGCTGCAACACTCACTGCGAAGGTCAGTGGCTTCACTCCTGTAGTCAGCGAGACCACGAACCCACCGGAAGGAAGAAACTCTGGACACATCTGAACATCTGAAGGAACAAACTCCGGACACACCACCTTTAAGAACTGTAACACTCACTGCCAGGGTCCACGGCTTCATTCTTGAAGTCGGCAAGACCAAGAACTCACTGGAAGGAACCAATTCCGGGCACACTAACACTTGTTATTATTTGACTTTTTGATAATAGCCATTCTGTTCAGTATTTCATTCAGTGGTTTTAACTTGCATTTCCCTAATAACTAGTGATGTTCATACTCTTTTTGCATGCTTATTAACCATATTTTCTTCAGTAAAATATCTATTCAAAACTTTTGCCCATTTTTAAATTGTTTGTCTTGTGCTAGGTTTTACACATAAATTTTTTGCTACTGCATTGGAGTCAATATAATCTTCAATTTTGCAGATGGATAAACTGAGTCAGAAAGTTAAATAACTTTCTCAAGGTCATCCTTCCAGCTAATAATGGCAGTAGTTCTTCTGGTTCCAAAGTCTCGGGTTATTATCTCTACTGAAGTTGCAATCTGGTGATCAGAGGCTTGATCACAGCCCACAGATGCGTCTATATGTGTCACACCATAAAAAATATATAACCAAGGTTTTAAAAAGGAAGCATTCACATAGAAATCCAGGTTTCTGGCTTCTTGTGAAATGATGGAAGATCTAATAGCACTGGGCTCACACTCCACATTCTTAACAGAATTCCAAAAGCATTCTATAAGAGCTGGGTAGCCATCACTCTCTCCAGACAGACCCTGTACACAGAGCCACATATAATCTGACCTCCATGTCATTCACTGATGTTCTTAACCCTGTAGGCATTCGAGGGAGCCATATCCACAAGGTGGGTATGCTCTGTGCCATCTTAGAAAGCTCTTCTTTACATAGGTGAAGAAAACCTAGCTCACTTAGACTATATGCATGTAAAAAACAGATAAAGTACAGACTGGCAAAAAGTCTATAATTTAAGACAATATTCACTATAGATAAAGCTTCCCTGGGATCAGTCATGTAAAAAAAATAGGTTTAATCCTTTCTCTTCAAATCCAATATGTAAAACATTATTAAAAACTGGGGTTTCTCTCACTGAAAAAAAGATGGAATTGGTCTCTTAGTCCATTTTGTGTGACTATAACAGAATACCTGGGACTGAGTAATGTGTAATGAACGGAAATTCATTGGCTCACAGTCTGCAGGCTGGGAAAACCAATATCAAGGTGCTGGCCTCTAGTGAGGGCCTTTACCATCACAAGACAGAAGGCAAGAGGGCAAGAGAGCAAGTGGGGGCCAAACTCAGCCTTTTATAACAGCATTAATTCCACCAATGAGGGCAGAACTCTCATGGGCTAATCACTTCTTAAAAATCCCACCTCCAGCCGGGCGCGGTGGCTCACACCTGTAATTCCAGCACTTTGGGAGGCCGAGGCAGGCAGATCACAAGGTCAGGAGATTGAAACCATCCTCGCTAACACGGTGAAACACCGTCTCTACTAAAAACACAAAAAATTAGCCAGGCATGGTGGTGGGCACCTCTAGTCCCAGCTACTTGGGAGGCTGAGGCAGGAGAATGGCATGAACCTGGGAGGCGGAGCTTGCAGTGAGCTGAGATTGTGCCACTGCACTCCAGCCTGGGTGACGGAGAGAGACTGTCTCAATAAAAAAAAAAAAAAAGTCCCACCTCTCAACACTGTTACAATGGTAAATTAAATTTCAATATGAATTTTTTGGGGTACAGACATTTAAACTATAGAAGTTAGAGTCATATTATTAATTGTATTTTACAGAAGAAGAAACTGGAGCTCAGATAATTTCAGTAACTAGCCCAGAATCACACAGCTGGCAGGAAAATGATAAGCTAGAACTCAACCTAAAGTCCTTGGGAACCGAGGTCAGCACTCTACCTGCACCAGAGCTGCCCACTGTGGGCTATTCTTCTCACTTAGAACAAAAGCCACCTTATAACTTTTGTGTGTCCAGTGCCAGGCACAATACCTGACATATAGAAGAAACTCTCATATATTTGTTAAATGAATTAAAATGCTCCACAAATATTTGTGATAAAAATGTTACATTTTAATTTGGTTGCCAAAATTAAGGCTCAGATGAAAGAAAAAAAATAAGTTCCATATAACTGTCTTAATGTAGCTAAATATTCAAGTGTTATTGAGGGAAAAAGAATCACAATTAACTCAGCATTGTTTTATGTACAGGGAATTGCTTGCTGTTAGGAGAGAGTTGAGGGACTATAATACACAGTGCCTGTTGTACTGTAGATTTAGGGAGATAATGAGGAAGCAAACTGATATTAACTACCTAGCCACCCTACTTACTCTCTTTCTTTTAAGCCCCACAACAACTCTGCAAAGTATATATAAACATTCTCATCTCATTCCCGAGAATGAAAAAAAAAAAATGGCCTGCTCAGGGTTACCCATACTTGATGAAGCTGTCTGACTCCAAACCCATTTGTTTGCACTATATCACAAAAGATTTGAAAATTTACATTGGTGACCCAAGAATTAAATAAAAACAGAGAAAAACCACATCAGAACTGTTATAAGTCAGTCCAAAATTCACTTCAGATGTGCTCTGACATAAAAGAAGAGTGATTCTCTGAGCCTCTATTTTTTCATCCATGAAATGGGTCATAAATATGCCCTCCTCCCAGTGGGGTTGTAAAGCTCAGTTGCTTCAGTGGATGTGGAAGGGCCTTTGAAATAGAAAGTGTAAGGTTAGTGGACCTTAAGCCCTTGCAATATGGATTCTGTTCTCTCAGCATTTTCAAAACTGTTATTTCCAAAATCACCAGTAACCTCTTACTAATTAAAGTAGTAACCTTCTCTCAATCTTTTCCAATCACACTCAACCTGAAACCATTTGGACATATTTGCCTGTATCTGCTCCTCCCCTCCGTTCTGAAACCAACCCTCTCCATCTCATCTCTGTGTATCTGTCTCCGAAGCACAGAAAACACACATACGCACATGCACACACACATGCATGCATACATGCACATATACGCTATTATGGGCTGAAGTATGCCCTCCAAAAATTCAAATGCTGAAGTCCTAATCTCTAATATCTCTGAACGTGACCTTATTTGGAAATAGGATCTTTCCGGAAATAATCAAGTTAAACTGAGTTTGCTTCAGCAGATGCAGAAGGGCCTTTTAAATAGAAAAATTGTTATAAAGAAGAACTGAGATAATATATCTCCAGTGCTCAACAAAGGATGGGGACTGGTTGATAGTAAGCACGGTAAATGGTAGCTATTAGTAGTAGTAGTAGAAGCTTTCTGATGTTTTATAGTCAGAGATGAGCAAACTTTTCTAAAAAGGGACAGATAGAAAATATCTTTTTTTCAAGACAAAGTCTGACACATTTTCTCCTTTGTTTTCTGCTTCTCTGTTTTTTTGTTTACAACTATTCAAAAATGTAAAATCCATTCTTGTTTGTGGGCTGTACACAAACTGAATGCAGGCCAAATTTAACCCTTGCCAATTCCTGGCTAGAATCTCCAGTACAGTGTTAAACAGAGATGGGGAGACCAGACTTCCTATTTTGTTCCTGATCTGAAGTGAAAGGCATTCAGTCTTTCACCATTAAGTACGACATTAGCTATAGCTTTTAAGATAGAAGGTTAGGTTTCCTTAGATATGGTTTATCAGCTAGAAGAAGTTCCTTCTGCTCCTAATTTACTGAAAGTTTTTGTAGTAAATGGGTGTTGAATTTTGTCAAATACTTTTTTGGCATGTATTGAGATGATTATAAGGTTTTTGTCCTTTAATGTATTAATATGGTATATTATGTTAAATGATTTATGGATGTTAAACCAATCTTGTATTCCTGAGATAAATTTCACTTGATTGTGAAGTAGAATCTCTTTATCTATATGTTTCTGAATTCAGTTTCTTAATACTATCTTGAGGAGTTTTGCATCTATATTTATGAGGAATATGGATCTACTGTTTAACTTTCTTGTAATATCTTTTTCTGACTTTGGTATCAAGTTAACACTGGCCTCATAAAAAGAGTTGTGAAGTGTTTCCTCCTCTTCTATATTTTGGAAGAGTTTGCAACGGATTGGCATTAATTCTTTTTTAAATATTTGTTAGAATTCGCCAGTAAAGCCATCTAGGCTGGGGCTTTTCTTTGTCAGAAAATCTTTAATTACTAACTCATTTTCTTTGCTTGTTTTAATCTATTCACATTTTTAATCTTTGAGTCAATTGTGTTAAATTTGCATCTTTCTAGGAATTTCTTCATTTCATGTAAGTTGTCTAAATTTTTGGCATAAAGTTGTTCATAGAATTCCCTTAAGCCTTTTAATTTCTGTAAGGTGGTTAGTAATGTCATCTCTTTCATTCCAATTTTTTTCATTTGCCTTTTGTCTCTTCTATTCTGGATCAGTATAGTAAAAGTTTCATAAATTTTATTAATATTTTCATTAAATTTTTAGTTTTGTTGAATTTCTCTACTTTTTTGTTTTTCTGTTTCCTGTTTCACTGTTTTCCACTCTAATTTGTATTACAGTTGTCCCTTCATATCCATAGGTTCTACATCATTGAATTCAGCCAACTGTGGATTGAAAATATTTGGAAAAAAACAATAAAAAAACAACACTATAATTATAAAAATAACACAAATTTTAAAAATTACAGTGTAACAAGTATTTACATAGCATTTACATTAGGTGCTATAAGTAATCTAGAGATGGGTTAAAGTATATAGGTGGTTATATGCAAATGCTATGCCATTTTATATAAGGGATTTGGGTATCCACAGATTTTGCTATCTGTAAGGGATCCTGGAAAAAATCCCCCACAGATAACAAAAAACAACTGTATTTCCTTACTTCTACTTGCTTTGGGTTTGAATTGCTATTATTTTTCTAGTTTTTTTAAGTGGAAACACAGGTCAATGGTCTGAGATCTTTCTTTTTTCTTTTTTTTCTTTTCTTTTTTTTTTTTTTTTTTTTTTTTTTTTTGAGATAGGATCTCACTTTGTTGCCCAGACTGGAGTGCAGTGGTGTAATAACAGCTCACTGCAGCCTCGACCTCCTGGGCTTAAGTGATCCTCTAATATTAGCCACCAGAGTAACTGGGACTACAGGTGCATGCCACCACCCCAGGATAATTTTTTAAAATTTTTCATAGAGGCGAGCTCTCACTATGTTGCCCAGGCTGGTCTCAAACTTCTGAGCTCAAGCAATCCTCTCACCTTGGCTTCCCGAAGTGCTGGGATTACAGGGATGAGCCACTGTGCCTGGCCTCCTTTATTCTAATATAGGCATTAAAAGTTATAATTTTCCTCTATGTACTGCCTTAGCTGGACCCCACAAATTTTGATGCTTGGTTTCATTCTTGTTCAGTATATTTCCTAATTTCCTCTGTGATTTATTAACTCACAGTTTATTTAGAATTGCATTGTCTAATTGCCAAATATTTGTGGATTTCCCAAATTTCTTTCACTTGTTGATTTTAATGCGATACTGGTTTTGTTGGACAACATACTTGTCATAACTTCAATTATTTTCAATTTATTGAGAACTGTTTTATGCTCTATCACATATCTATTCTAAATAATTGTTTTATGTGTGCTTGAAAAGAATATGCATTCTGCTGCTGTTGGATGGAGTGCTCTAAGATACTAGTTAGGTCAAAATAATTGATAGTGTTGTTCAAATTCTCCATATAACTGATGATTTTCTTTCTAGTTGGCCTATCAATTATTAAGAGTATGATATTGAGATCTCCAACTATTATTACAGAATTGCCTATTTCTCCCTTCAGTTCTTTCTGTTTTTAGTTCACTTGTTTTGGGACTCTGTTGTTAGTTGCATATATATTTTAATTGTTCCATTTTCCTGATATCCTATACATCTTGTTTCTAATAAGACTTTTTGTTTTAAAGTCTATTTCTTTGATATTAGTATGATGACTCCAGCTCTATTTTGGTTGTTTGCATGGTATATCTTTTTCCATTATTTTACTTTTCAACGTATTTGACTCAATCTAAAATATGTGTTTTGGATACAGCATATAGTAGGATCTTCTTTTATTATCCAGTCTGACAATCTGCTTTTTGATAGAAGCAGTTAATTCATTTACATCTAATGTAACTATTGATATGGATGGATTTATATCTGCATTTTGATACTTTTTTGTATGTCTCATGATTTTTGTGCTCCTCCTTAATTGCCTTCTTCTGTGTAAGATAGATATTTTCTTCTGTACCATTTTAACTCCTTGTTGGATTTATTTATACATTTTGAGTTGTTTTCTTAATAAATTTTCCAGAGATTTCAACATGCACCTTAACTTTTCATAATATACTTTAGATTAATACTAAGTTACTTCTAATAAAATATGGAAATTTTGTTAAAATATATCTCCATTTTCTTTCTCCTTCTTTGTGTTATTATAGTCATATACATCATTATATGTTATAAGCCCAACAATAGATTTTAAAGTTATTATTTCATGCAATTGTCTTTTAAATCAGTTATGAGAAAAGAAACATATATTTATTGTCTTTTATATTTATCTTCATAATTAACTTACAAGTGCTCTTTATTTCTCCATGAATTCAAGCTATCACCTAGTGTCATTTTCTTTCAGTCCAGAAAACTTTCTTTACTCTTTCTCGTAAGTCGGGTCTGCTAGCCACAAATTCATTTAGTCTCTGTTTATCTGAGAATATCTTTGTGCAGAATAGTTTTGCTGGAAATAGAATTCTTGGTTGATAGGTTTTTGTCTTTCAGCACTTTGAATATGTCAATAATTCTGCCTTCCGGCCTCTATTTCTAGTAGGAAGTCAGTTGTGAATCTTATTTTCATTCCTCTGTATACAGTGAGTGTTTTTTTACTTCTTGCTGATCTTAGAATTATTTCTTTATATTTGGTTTTCAATCGTTTGACTATGATATATCTAAATGTGATTTGTGTGTGTGTGTGTTTATCCTATTTGGAGTTCACTGAGGTTCTTGGATGTGAGGATTATTTTTTAAATTAAATTTGGTGAGTTTTTGGGCATTATTTCCTCAAATATTCTTTCCCCTCTTTCTTTCTTTCAATTGCTTATGAGACTCCCATGAAACATATGTTGCTGTGCTTAATGGTGTCCTATAGGTCTCTGAGGCCCTGTTCATCTTTCTCTATTTGTTTTCTGTTCTTCCAATTGGATAAGTCCTATTTATCTATCTTCAAGTTTGCTAAATCTTTCTCCTGACATCTTGAATCTGCTGTTGAGCCCCTTGAGTAAATTTTTTGTTTCAATTACTGTAGTTTTCAACTCCAGAACTTCCATTTGGTTCTTTTTTTTGGTAATTTATATCTCTTTATTGATATTCTCTAGTGAATTATTATAATAATACTTTCCATTCACTTTTTAAACATGGTTTGCTTTCACCTTTGAACAGATTTATAATAGCTGCTTTGAAGTCTTTTTCTGCGAAGTCCAAATCTGTACCCGTCAAATATAGTATGTTTTAACTACTTTTTTTCTGAGTATGGGTCATATTTTCCTGCTTCTTTGCACATCTTGTTTTTTTTGTTGTTGTTGTTTTACAAGTGATATTTTAGATAACATATTATAGGAATTCTGGATTCTGATTCTTCCCAGAAGTTGTCATTATTTCTAGGATTTTTATTGTTGTTGTTTTGTTCAGTGACTTTGTTTGACTATTTCTGTAGAATTTGTCTCCCCCAGATTGCACAGCCACTAATGTTTCCAATCAGTTTTTCTTTTACTCCTCTTTTCATTTTAAGCCTGGATTCTAGAGATTACCCCTGGTAAGCATAGTGTAGTGATCATGTTGAGTGGTCAGAGGCAGTACTTAAACATCTTGATTCAGTAACATTTCTACCCTTTGACAATGGATCTGTTTGTGGGTTGGAGAACACTTTCAACCTTCAGGCAGTTTACAAATCTGATACAGTTTACTTTCTGACATGCCTTCTTGCATCTCCTCCGTAAGTTTATGAGGTCTCATATTCAGCCATGGATGAATAGTTAGTTAAAGCCTTCTCTGGTGTCTCCAGATTATGCACACAGCTGCACCTATGTGTGTAGCCTTCCAGAACAACAAAGATCAACAGGGATAGTGGCAGCTTATCAAGGTACACAATGGCTATCTCATTCTAGATCTCCCTGTTAAACTTTTGGCTAGTCTGTTGACTTGTGACTTGCAACCAGTATTGCAAGTTGGATTTTCATTTATTTGCCTTACAGATTGCTACTGTTTTTTAACAATGCCCCTGGACATGCACACACTTAAAATCAATCCTGTTTCTCTAGCTATAGGGTTTCTGCTTCTTTGCACGTCTTGTTTGTTGTTATTGTTTTACAAGTGATATTTTAGATGACGTATTATAGGAATTCTGGATTCTGATTCTTCCCAGAAGTTGTTATTTCCAGGGTTTTTATTGTTGTTGTTATTTGTTTAGTGACTTTATTTGACTAATTCTGTAGAATTTGTCTCCCCCAGATTGTACAGCCACTAATGCTTGCAATCAGTTTTTCTTTTATTCCTCTTTTCATTTTTAAGCCTGTTAGATACCCCTATTAAATTTTTGGCTAGTCTGTTGACTTGTGACTTGCAACCATTATTTCAAGTTGGCTTTTCAATTATTTGCCTTAAAGATTGCTATTGCTTTTAACAACGCCCCTGGACATGCACACACTCCAAATCAATCCTGTTTCTCTAGCTATAGGGTTTCTAACTTTCAGCTTGCCCAGCCATTATAGAAGAACCCTATATGTTTTATAGGGTCAGGATTTGCTTTTAAGGGAGTAGAGAAGTCCTGTACTTGTTCAGAACTGCCTGGGATTTAGATGGAAAGTCTTTCTTATTCTGTAATTCAGTATTTAAAAACACCCACTTGCCTACAGATATAAATCACATTCTTCAATATCAGTTTTATTATTAATAAAAATAAAGATTTTAAAAATATATAACATATGATATATAACATAATAATATATATTAATAATATATATATAATGCTCTTTCTTACCTCTAATCTCTTAATTGATTAGATTTTCTGAAAATAAGCAGTCCTAATACCTAGGACAATAACTCCTACTCCCTGTGTTTTAAATCAAACCTCTTTCAGCTGGACCATTCTGCCTCCTATTCAATTTTCTTATTTTGAATGATAATGATAACCAATAAAACAGAAAAGTAAACGTCTCTGCTCTTCAGGTACACTATCCAAATACATGGAAAAGCTACTTAGTACAAACCACTTGAAATGCAGTAGAATCAGCTAAAATAGTGTTCTGTTCTTTAATCCAGTCTGCTGCTTCTCCTGTCAATTGGCTGGAACATGAATTCTAAGAAATCACTAGATGTTCACAGCAGGTGCAAAGGTAAGCTCATGTTCTGGGGAGGTCCACATTTTCCCTGGGTAGCAGATGTTTTGCTACATGACATTTAGAAATAAGTCAAAGTTGTTATTTGTTATGTATAATGGGTCTCAAAGAATAAATGAAAAGCCTTTTACTCTAATTCAGAATGCATTTTGCCACTCTGAAGGATACATTGGTTGAGCTCTTAAAAGCTCAGGCATGGGAACAAGAGATTGATATGGCTGAATATGTGTCTAAGGGAACAGTCAAAGAGAGCAGCCATGTCTAGCATGAGGAAGAGCAGACTGCACTCAAATCAACCCGTTACACTAAAGAGTGGGAAAGGTTCTTTATTGCTTTCTCAGCTGGAAAGATACCCTTATCCCACATTCTGCAAAACAAAACAAAACAAAAAACTCAGTTATCTTTTCTATTCATTAGAATAATATAAGTGAAACCACTACTAGTTTGATGAGGATTTCTACTCAATCGGCATATTCTAGTCTGGGTCCTACTCATCAATCTGTCTCAAAGTAACCCTTCCTATGGTCTAAAAAATGAGAGGGAAGCAGGAGAAGGATGGGTAAGATGTCATGGGTTTATGGTCTCATTATCTGCAGGCATCTGAAGTTTTTAGCTGTGTGCTGAGGAAACATACACAAATGGGACCCCCAGCAGTATTTTCCTGACATATCTCTAGGGCCTGCAGCAAATACATGCTGGGCAAGCATCATACTGTCATGTCAAGTTGTGGTCACTCAGAAGGAATCCTAGCCTGAAGCCCTATTGACAGTTCAGGAACCTGGAAGGCTTTCCTGATTGGACATCTGGGCTGGCTATAAGGTCTTGTTTCATGCTGATTCCTGAAGCCTACCATAGGTTTTGTTTTGTTTTGTTTTGTTTTTAAAGACTTTGAATCTTTAATATATGATATCCCTCTGGCACTACTTCTGGCAAAGTGGCTTCATGCTGGAACTTCAGTAGTCTCCTGGAAACTCAGACCAAGTCAGCTGTTCCCCTCACTTCCCCAGCCAGCAATGTCACCTATGCCTAGATAGGCCACCCTCAAAGAGATGGGGGAAGTTGTTGTGTTATAGAAGTAATGAAGCTCTTAAATCTAAAAACGTGTGTTCAGGTGGTACTGCCCTCTACAATCTATATGACCTTGGGCAAGTCATTGAGTTTCTCTGAACCTCCGATTGCTCATCTGTGGCATGTGGATAGGGCCATTGACCCTAGAGTTTGTGTGGTGGATACTGTGGTTTGCTTCATCCAGTACCCATTCTAATCTCCTTCTAACTTGCCTTCTGTTCTAACAGCAAAACTACATTTCCTGAACTTTCTTCCAGAAAGGGTACAGTCATGTGACATAATTCTCTCCATTTATACACAGCCATTCAAGACTTCTAAACAGAAACTATCATGAGGCAGTGGCCACCCAGGGAGAGCAAATATTCTGGCAGGATCACTAGTAAGACTTCTGGTTCTTCTAGAGCAGTGGGGGTCGAGTTCATGGCTTCAAGCCTGAGTGCAGCAGAAATCAAACAGCAAGCATCAAGGGCAAGAGATTTTTCACTAGCATGGGGCAACAGAATGAATGGAAGCTTTTCCTGCCCATAGTGTTGTTAATGGTATAGCATCCAAGCCTGGTTCTCTGCCTCTTTCTGAGATTTTGTGAGCCAATTCGTACTCTTTAATTGATTACTTTTTGCTTAAATTATTGTATTGTCATCTGCAACCAAGAAGCCTGGGAATAGCAGTTATTTTATTAAAGGAAGTAAATAAAAGTGAAAGTAACTAATAAACTCTAAATGTTAGACAAATGGTAGAAAATTATGTTCAATAACTTTTTTTTCTTTTTAAAGATGAATACATTGCAGAAATTCTAGGAAAGGGAGTTGTTATTTAATTCTCAAAACAACTCTGTGGGCAGACATCTGTATTAGTTTTATTTTTCTGCAATAATGCTGAATAACAAACAACCCTAAAACTCAGTAAATTATTTAGTGTGAGAGTCATCTACATGGTTCTTCTGGCTTATCCTGGACTTCCTCATATGTCTGAGCATTAACTGGATATTGGATAATCTAGGCTGGCTTTGGTTGACGGAATTGGGCCAAGTTTCCTCCTCTCTATGTCTTTCTCATCTTCCAACATGCTGGACCAAGTTTGCTTTCATGATCATGGCAGAGGACCAAGAGTACAACTGGAAACACACTAGCATTACTTAAGCCTCTGCTTGTATCACATTTGATAATATCTTGTTGGCTAGAGCATGTCATATAGTGTCAGAGTGAGACAGCACTACTAAATTACATGGCAAAAAGTGTGAACACAGAAAGGAAGGGAGAAGCATTAGGACTATTACTGCAATCTGCCACTGCACATATAACCCAACTTCATGGATTATTAGAGAAGCTCAAAGAGATTAAATAAGCTGTCCTGCGTCCCAAACATAGTCAGTGATGGTGATGAAAGATTAATCCACTTTAATCTGACTCCAGCCAGGCACAGCGGCTCATGCCTATAATCCCAGCACTTTGGGAGGCTGAGGCAGGAGGATCGCTCAAAGCCAGGAGTTCAAGTCCAGCCTGGACACCAAAGGAAGACCTTAACTCTACAAAAAAAAAAAAAAGTAAAAATAAAAAATAAACTAGCCAGGCTCATAGGTGTGCACTTGTAGTCCCAGTTACTCAGGAAGTTGAAGTGGGAGGATTACTTGAGCCTCGGAGTTTAGGTTGTAGTGAGCTACATCATGCTACTGCACTCCAGCCTGGGACCACACAGTAAGACCCTGTCTGAAAAAAAAAGAAGCCTGACTACAAAGCACCCAGGAAAATTCTGCTAAATACATGTGTGTGGGTATATTTAAGATTTATGTATATTTTATATATTATTATTATTATTATTATTATAATTTTTGAGAAAGAGTTGCACTCTTGTCACCCAGGCTGGAGTGCAATGGCATGATCTTAGCTCACTGCAACCTTCGCCTCCCAGATTCAAGCAATTCTCATGCCTTAGCCTCCAGAGTAGCTGTGATTACAGGTGTGCACCACCACACCAGCTAATTTTTGTATTTTTAGTAGAAATAGGTTTTCCCCATGTTGGCTAGGTTGGTCTTGAACTCCTGACCTCAAGTGATCCACCTGCCTTGGCCTCCCAAAGTGCTGGGATTACAGGTGTGAGCCACCTGGCCTGTTTTTTTTTTTTTCTTTGACCTGTGAGATAAGAATTTTTTTTTTTTTTCTTGAGACAGAGTCTCGCTCTTACACCCAGGCTGGAGTGCAGTCCCTTGGTCTCAGCTCACTGCAACCTCTGCCTCCCATATTCAAGCGATTCTCCTGCCTCAGCCTCCTTAGTAGCTGGGATTACAGGAGCCTGCCACCATGCCCAGTGAATTTTTGTATTTTTAGTAGAGATGGGGTTTCACCATGTTGGCCAGACTGGTCTCAAACTTCTGGCCTCAGGTGATCCACCTGCCTTGGCCTCCCAAAGTGCTGGGATTACAGGCATAAGCCACCATACTCAGCCAGTTTTTGCATTTTTATAGTGTGTAAAATAAAACAAAAAACAAAGAATATGTGACAGAGATCATACGCGGCTAGTATTCAAAGCCTAAAATATTTGCTATTTGGTTCTTTACAGAAAATGTTTGATAGAGAATCGATTTAATATATGACTTGGTCTACAATCTCCACTTTGGACCATTGTTTAGAATTCACAACATATTCTATTAATGAGCATTCTCCCCTAAGAGAAGTGACTGGGTATTCAGGTACTGAGTTTCCCAACACTGTAAACATTCATCTAAAATAGCATGTTCCTACTCTGAGTGGAAGCTAAATCGTATAACCCCTAAGGCCTGTCTAATACTAAGATCCCATGTTTATAATCACGGAGCTAGGATTTGATGCATTACAGGTGATCACTGGACGATTCAGTTGTCCAAAGATAAAAGAGCCTCTTTAGTGGAAATGCTATGGTTCAAAAACAATCAAGCCATGATGTTTTAACAACTTGTAATTCATTCAATAATATCAGAACTTGCTAGAAATTGATGGTGGTGGTTATGTATACCTGTCACCATCAAAGACTAGGAAAGGAGGTAACTCACTGATTATGCTTTGTTTTTCTCTGTTTACACTTGTATGACCAAAGCTGAAGGTAGCTGAGCCTCCAGTAAATGGAAGTTTGCTTGTGTACCTGAATTTCATGGGTCCTGAATGTTCCACAAGGGAACCAAGCACAGCAAAAGTATTTATACACCACAGCCACTAATCAGGGTTTAATTAGCCTTATAATTAGAAGGGTAAACAGAAGTACAATTCCCAAATTGCTTGTTGTTTTTTTACATGTCCATAGAGCACTATTTTATTTGCCTTTGCACCCCCCACCCAGCATTTTAGCACAAAATTAACCTTTAAAATGTGTTAACTGTTGCATGGATTGCTGGCTTGCTTTCCACAAAATTCAGCTTTGTCATATTTGGTTAATTACAATGTCCAAAGTTATCAACCACAAGCTTCTTCAACTCTGTGAATGTTACTGAAAGCAGGAAAGGATGTTTTTATTCCTAGCTATCCTTCAGCTGTTCCAATGCAAAATAGCAGTCCAGATTTGTAGTCTGGGTGTCATTTAAGTAGTTTTTCCATAAGGTTTATTTAATTTTATATTCAGGAAAGTGAGTTTAAATGTCATTCTATTAATTTTACAAATGATGAAACTGGCATGCAGAGAATTTAAGTGGTTTGTGGAAGGTCATTCTGTCTAGGACAAGTTTCTCAAAGTACATTCCCTAGACCACCCTCATTTCTATCATTTAGGGTTTAACCAGACACCTCCGATGTGCCACTCAAGATGCACTTAGCTTTTCCTGGCCCTCTGTTCCACCCCAGCATCCCGCTAACAACCAGCCCTGCCCACTGGTTGCAGGTCCCCACTGACTTCCAAAGCAGGCAAACTGACAGCACTTTGGTCACACCAATGGCCTGTGCCCTTATCTCTTGTCCTTACTACCCTGGCTGAGGCACAAGAAGTCACGGACTTGGCAACATGTATTTTCAATGTGGAAGTACAAACAAGTAAATGCTCCATGGGGCAAGCCTTTAACCCATGGGAATGGGAGATGGATCAGTTCTTCTCCCTTCCTCCCATGCTCTGACCATCCTGAGGCACAGGGGTCCCATGGGCTACTGGAAGACAGTCTTGTGAGAAATTGGCTTCACCTGACATGAAGTGGTAGCCAGCTCAATGGCACACCCTTGTATTTGTCCTCCTTTTTCCTTTCCTCACTCCCTCTTCCCCTCCTGATACTTCTTGGGACTTTAGTCCACAGTAAGGTAGTAGTATTTGTAAGCTTTTGCCTCGGCTTCTGCTTTCTGAGACCCAGGTCAGCTAATACTGGATTAGAACATCTGGGAGTGGGGCATTTTTACAAGATTTCCTGATGATTTCCAGGTACCTTACAGTCTGATGACCACTGGATCTAGAATCTGAACCCAATGTAAAGGACTCTAAATTC